>NC_000010.11:50597640-50749155 GCF_000001405.40 Homo sapiens | reverse complement strand
TGAGTTTGCTTTTGGTAGACTCAGATACAAGTGAAGATCTAGAGCTGTAGTTTATATTAGTGACAGCATATTAAAATGGCTTCTTCAGGCCTTGATAATTCCTCACACCTCCCTCCCAACACAAATACAGGGAATATTTGAATCAAATTAGAACAGTCAAAACTTTCCACAGATGACTCATATTTATGCTTACATTTATAGTTAAGCTTTTATTTTTATAAGAGATGGAGTGGCAGGATGTGTATTTATCCTCCCACCTGAAACGACTAAAAAACTGGAAAAAATATATATTAAACAATGGATTTTCAAGTGACAAAGAAAGACAGTGATATTTGAGTGGCAGCAGACAAACAAGAACCCTGTAATCCACCAGCTCAATGTCATCAGTTTACGGGCCACGGCAGAAGGAGAATTCAGGCCAAGTCTGGCAGTCTAAGTTGAGGATATGGAGCTGGGTGTCCACAAAAGCCAAACAGTCTTGAGTTTATAGCACAGAGCATCATAGAGAGGATAGCTGCACAGAGACAGAAATCTGGAGATTTGCAGAAAGCTCCCCTCAAGTTTGCATGCATATAAGGGAACTACTGGAAGCCAGGAAAAGAATGGGCTAACAGAATTACAGAGAACAGTCCCCAGGCTCATAGAGTTGTGACAAGATTCTGTT
Source organism: Homo sapiens (assembly GCF_000001405.40). NCBI lineage: Eukaryota > Metazoa > Chordata > Mammalia > Primates > Hominidae > Homo > Homo sapiens. The sequence continues at coordinate 50,748,491 of NC_000010.11, read as the reverse complement.
CCCACCAGGCCAGACTGGAAAACCTCATAATTCAAAAGAATTTTACATTAGTGTGTGAGGGGATGAGGGGTGCTGGGGGAAGTGAGGAAGGGATTTGCTCAAGATGAAAATCTGCTCTGGTCCTGCCTAAAAAATTTAGTAATAGGTAATGCAATAGGTAAAAGCAATAAAACTAAATGCTAGTTCTTTGAGGACACAAATTACCAAAATTAGAAAGAAAGAGGGGATATAATTGTCAACTCTTCAGAAATTAAAAGGATTACAGGGGATTATCATGAGCAACAACAACTTTTATATTACACCAACAAATTAAACAACTTATATGAAATGAGAAAATTCCTAGAATGATACCAATTCCTATAAAGATAAATTCCTAGAAAGACACAAAATTGATGCAAGGAAAAAAATAGGACATATGAATGGGCATATAACAAGTAAAGAAATTGAATTAGTAATAAAAATTTTGCCATAAAGAAAAGCCAGGTCCATATGGCCTTGCTGGTCAATCCAATCAAATATTTAAAGAGTAAATAATGCCAATCTTTTGGATACTTTTTCAGAAAGTACAAGAGAAAACATTTCCCAACTCATTCTTTGAAAGCACTATTGCCCCAATACCAAAGGCAAAGACAACACATAAAAAGAAAACTAAAAATATCCCTCATGGACATGAGTAGAAAACTCCTTACAATATATCAGCAAATCAAATTCAGCAACATCTAAAAAGGATTATACACCATGACTAAATGATACGGCATTTATTTAACATCTGAAAACCAATGAATGCAAATACCTTATTAAAATAACAAAAGACAAAACCACATTGTCACCTCAATAGAAAAAAAATTGCAAAACCCCAACACTGATTTCTGACAAAAACTTGCAATAAGCTAGGCATAAAACATGAAAAAGAGAATCTACAAAAAATCCTAAAGAAAACATCATACTAAATGGTGAAAAACTGAATACTTTTCTACTAAGATTGGAAACAAGACAAGAGTGTCCAGTCTCACAACTTCTATTTGACATTGGATTGGATCTTCAGCAAAAAAAACAAAGATGAAGGTACCACACAACCTGACTTCAAAATATACTACAAAGCTATAGTAATCAACACAGCATGGTACTGGCCTAAAGTAATCAACACACCATTGGTACACATAGACCAATGGAGCCCAGAAATAAGCCCTCACATTTATGATAAATTGATTTTTGACAAAAGTGCCAAGAACACACAATGGGGAAGTGACAGTCTCTTCAATAAATGCTGCTGGGAAAACTGGATATCCACATGCAGAAGAAGGAAATATAAAAATTAACTCAAAATTGATTAAAGATTTAAATATAAAACCTGAAACTATAAAACAACTGAAAGAAAACCTAGAGGAAAAGTTCCATGATGTTGGTGTAGGTGATGTTTGTTTTTTTTTTTTAATATGACCCCTAATGCAAAAGCAACAAAAGCAAAAACAGGCACATATTACATCAAACTAAACAGTTTCTGCACAACCAAAAAAACAATTAACAAAGTGAGGAGACAACCTAAAGAATGGGAGAAAACACTTGCAAACTATGCATCCAATAAAGAGTTAATATCCAAAAGATATAAGGTACTCAAACAACTCTATAGCAAGAAAACAAATAACCCAATTTGAAAATAAGAAAAGGACCTGAATAAACATTTCTCCAAAGAAGACATACAAATGCTCAACAGGGTATTTTTTTAAATGTTCAATATCAGTGATCATCGAAGAAATGCAAATTAAAACTACAACAAGATATCACCTAATACCTGTTAGAATGTATAATATTTAAAAAGACAAAAGACAAGTGTTGATAAGAATGTAGAAAAAGGTAACTCTTGCACACTGTTCATGACAATGTGAATTAGTGCAGCCATTATGAAAAGCAGCAAGAGGTTTCTCAAAAAATTAAAAATAGAACTACTGTAAAATATATACACAATACCATTTCTGGGTATATAGAGAAAGGAAATGAAATCAGTTTGTTGAAGAGATATGTGAACTCCCATGTTTATTGCAGCACTGTTCACAATAGCCAAGATATGAAACAACCTAAGTGTCCATCAATGGATGAATGGATAAAGAAAATGTAGTACATATACACAATGGAATACTATTCAGTCATAAATAAGAATGAGATCCTTACATTTGATACAACATGGATAAACCTGGAGAACATTAGATTCAGTGAAATAAGCCAGGTACAGAAAGATAAATACCACATGATCTCACTTATATATAGAACCTTCAAGAGTTAAACTCATAGAAGTAGAGAGTAGAATGTTGGCAGAAGGTTAGTTACCAGGGGCTAGGAGGTTAGGGGGTTGAAATTTTATATTCTATTGATCAAAGAATATAAAATTTCATTTAGACAAAGGGAATAAGTTCAAGAGGGCTACTGTACAACTTGATGGCTTCAGTTAAAAACAACATATTGTGTTTTAAAAATTGTTAAGAAAGTCTCAAATTTTCTCACAACAAAAAATAATAAGTATGTGACATAATGTATATGTTAATTAGCTCAGTTGAGCCATTCCCCATGTATACATATTTCAAAACATCATCTTGTACACAATAAATATATATAATTTTTATTTATCAATTAGAAAATTAAATAAAAATTTTTAAAAAGCAGAACATTCTATTGAAGATTCTAGCCAGTCCAATAAGGATAAATAATTAGGTGCATTTAGAAAAGAAATATAGAAAGGAATAAATAAGCTTATTTTTATTCACAGATGACATGATACTATATGTAGAAATTCCTAAGGAATCCAGACTCCCCTCTTCTCATCCCTCCTCCCCCCAGAAAAACTGTTGAAACTAATAACTGATTCAGCAAGCTTTCAGGACACAAGATTGATATAAAATAGTAATGGTACAAATTCTGCTTCATTTCTGTATGTTTTTCCTATCCTTGACTTAAGAGACAACTCTCAGTGCCAGTGAATAGTTCCATGATCATTCACTTAAGAAAAGGAATAATTTGGATTTTAGAATTTCAATTTGACACAATTACTTACAAAAAATAAATATTTCCCCATTCTCATTACTTTTGCAGAGATAAGAACAATTGTCAAAATTATCATTGCTAACAGTTGGTCTACAGCATGATTAGAGGCAAATGGTGACACAAAGTGACATCCCCCAAAACATCCCTCTAAAGGATTCCAAGGTCTGCTCATGAGTCTTACCACTCTGTATTCAGGTTTTGCTGGCTGCAGGACATCCCCGAAAGTTCTGCCTTTTGGTGCTCTATCCACAATACTAGGAATTAATGGAACTATTAATTGTTTGAAAAAGGGAGGTTCTGGACCTCTGCTCAGGTTGGCTACCATGTCCTGGAACAGAGAGCATTTGTTAAGGAGTGCACAGGTAGAGTCAAAGACCCTTTCCCCAGGCCTCCAGACCCAGAAATGCCTGCATTAATGGAAGAGTGCACACACACATATACATACTCCAAGAGCTAACAACCTTGAGCAAAATAGGAAGGTAGCCTTGCTAAGCATGAGCCTAGAAATTCATAATTTAAACTCTTGTCACTGGGAGAAAGTTTTGGTCATAGGCAACTCTTTTATTCCCCTAGACAACATAAGGACAGTGACCAGAGTACAAGGTTGGAAGCATACTTTCAAATTGTCTGACCTTGTACAGGGGCCTAACATGCAAAAAGATAATTATACCATGACAGTGTAATTATTATTTTAATTTTTAAAAAGTATTGAGCCACTCTCACCTGGAGTGAGTACCAAGTTTTTTCCTAGATTCTTGTCTGTGCTAATAAAAGAATATAATAAATATATTTTTAATTTAAAATTTAAGATCATCCCACATCCTGACTGGTTTAATCTATATTGCCCACAAAGTTTACCATTTTTAATAGTGTCATAAAAATACAAATCTCAATTTTCAAATATCCCTATATCTATATTAGGTTGGTACAAAAGTAATTGGCATTTTGCCATTAATTTCAATGAATATTTAATGCTCTTTATTCCTCACATTATAGATTTAATCTTTACAACTGCATATGATATGAGATAGGTTATGTATTACCATTCCCATTTTGCAAATGAGAAAATAGGCTTAGACATATTCAGTGGTTTTTTTCAAGATCACATAGCTAGTTTTAAGGTGCTTGACCAGAAATTTGTCTGTAAAACAAATTTCCACCAAATTAATTGCATTTTTCTTCATTGTCACTACAAAATTTGAAGAATCTATTTTCTTGGGAAGAACTATAGACCTATGAGCATAGTGACAGTTAAACAGTAGTTATCTCTAGGGATGGATTATAGGTTTATGCTTTTCTGTATAATCTGAATGACCTACAAATAGATTTGGATTTTATAATAGAAATAAATAAATAAATAAATACAAACAGTTATTCAAAAAAAGTAACCTAAAACTGAGACCAAAATTATGATAAAATGAAAATAAATATCAATTGATTAAAATATGTGCAAAGAAATTATATAAAATACTGAAATTTCAAACACACAATCAGTAATAATACAGGCATATGAAATTTTCAACGTTCGACTGATGCAACCTACAGAGACAACCATTTCATTTATTTCAATTTAATATATCCAAGCTCTTTCATTAAAAGGGCTTTATTTTCTTTGCTATGCCACAATTGTTTCACATTTTTTACTGAGGCTTACATATTATTATATAAGGGGCTGCTTATTATTTTAAGCTCTTTATCTTGTTTGTTGACTAACCTTCTGACATCACAGTTGCAGCTTCATAAACAACTGCATCCAAAGGGAAGATTTCCACAAGTGAAGTTCCTTTAAATCAAGTAAACTTGTTCAGTGGTATATATTTTAGGTAGATGCAATGTTTTTATTCCAAGGCACCACTATTTTTACATCAAATCTAAGCTTCCATTGATTTAACAACTCATATTATCTTTTGAACCACCAAGAAAGTAAAAGCATGCTACTAATTATAATAATAAGCTTCCTCTGATTGGAAAATGCATCCCAATTTCCAAGATATTATAATGTGGAAAATGGGCATCTTAGAATGCTGACCTACTCAACTTTTGGAGTGAGTGGGGAGAATCTGGCAAGGATTAGAAAACACAGGTTCAACTCCCAGGTGTAGTAAGCTTCATCACTTATCTTCAAGCCTATGTGCTCCTCTGAAAACTGGGGAGAAATGATATCTCCCTAATTTCACATGATGGTTGTAAAAATAGTGAGAAAATACATATGAAAGAAGCTGCCAGCATGAAAGGATGTTAACTAGATCCAAAATTGGGAAAGAAATTTTATTTATTTTGTTAGAGATACCACAAAACTATAAATTTTGTAAAATATAAAGGTTGTCAAACTGAACACTCGAAGCTAAGGTTCTCTTTCACTTCCCTCTTACCCAGACACAGACACATACAGACATACACACACACACACACGCACGCACGCACGCACAAACAATATTTGATTACCGTAGCAATAGCCTTAGCAAGGTTTCTGAAGAGCTGAATGTAAGCAGATAATGCGTGCGGTCCATAAATTGTCGATGCTGCCTCATATCGCTGAGCCTGCAGGAAAGGCAGGGAGAGTTGTATATGGTTCTGCATATTTAAATCCATTTACAGAGGTGTAGCATTTTAGGTAAGTGTGATGCTTGACATCTCACATTATTCAAAACTGGCACAATCTTCAAGATTATGTATGACAAAAGAGGATGGGCATTTCCATTTACTGGCCAAGGTAAGTGACTCCTATGGACTACCTGTTAAAAGCAGTGGGTTCTCTCTGCTTATGCCATTTAGACTGTCACTCTATTTACTATGAAAGACGGTGCTAGCTCCTAAGCTTTAGTCTATTATAAGTACTTGTAATATAAGTGCTTTCCCCCAGGGCATATATCAGAAGAAAAATAAAACAAAATAAAGAGTCCTAGTAACTTCTGGATAAATAGTTAGAAGGTGCTAACTGGAGAAAGACATTTAATCCATCACAAAGCCATGAAATTGAGCCAAATGCATCTTTTAGCTGACCTCCAGGCCTTTGGTTCTTCTACAGGAACTTCAAAGTTATCAAATCTAAAACCAACCTCACCACTTCAGACATACCAGCTTCCTCCACAACATTCTCATCTCAGCGAATGTCATCTTTCCAGTCTCCCATGTGAGGATCAGCCGGCAGTTACCTTAGACTCCTCTCTCCCTCATCCTGTATCCTATCAGTCTCCACATCTGGTAATTCTGTCTCCTTCAAATCTCCTGAGATCTTTCATTTTCCTGTCTTACTTTCTCCTAAGGTACAAATAGATTTCACCTTAGTTCAAACCCTCATTTCTCACCCAGATCTCTTTTTTTTTATATTTGTATTAAGTTCAGAGGTACATGTGCAGGTTTGTTATATAGGTAAATCACATGTCATGAGGGTTGGTTATACAGATTATTTCATCATCCAGGTAATAAGCACAGTACCTGATAAGTAGTTTTTTGATCCTCTCCCTCCTCCCAGCCTTCACCCTCAAGTGTGCATGTCCATGTCTTGCCCAGATCTTAATTACACTATGGCTTCTTAATCAGTCCTCTGCCTATACACAAGCCCTTCCAATTCATTTTCTACACTGCCATCTATTGACCTTTCTAAATCACAAAATTTTATCAAAGCATTCTCTTGCTTAGAATCCTACTGCAGTTCCCCCAAAGCCTTCCTTACTGAGTGAAGGCTCAGTAGCATAGCATGCAAGACTATCCATCAGCTAACCTGTGTCTCCCACTCTGGCTACCATCTCCTTACCATCACCCTCCGCATACTTACTCCATGCTACTCAACTAATTGTGGTCCATCAATGTGCCTGCCCTCTGGACCTTTGCATATATCGTTTCTTCTATATAGGATACATTCTTACTTTTTATTTGCTTAACTCTCACTTGTTGTCAAGAACTCATACAGATGTTACATCTTCCTGAACAGTCCCAGTACTCAAATACCCAGTCTGGGCTGGTGCTCTTTCTCTTTATTTTTATAACACCTTGTGCATGCCTTTCATGAAAATGTAATCATCTGTTCTCTTTTCTGTCTTCCTACTAGACCCCCGGCTTCCAGTGATCTTGAGGGAAGGGACAGATTCTTTTCATCATTATGCCCCAGAAAGTGGCTAGCACAGTATCTGTCACAATACATCTGTTGAATGAATGAAGTAATTAATAGCAATACTTGCCGGAGTATATCCCTGTGATATGGACAGGAGACAGGAAAATACTGGGTAGAAGAGAGTGGTTCCCTGGCAAAGGCCCCACCCTTAAGCCTGGAAACCTGTGGCCCTAAACAAATGTTCTTAAAGAAACTGAAAAAATGAATTTTTAATTAATTTCATTCTAACTCTAAACAGTCACATGTCGCTACCATACTGGACAGCTCAGACCTAGGTATCAACTGGACTAATGAAGTGGTTTCCTAACTTAAACTTAAATTGTAATAAAAAATTTAAAACGTTTTTATGAACTTCCAATAGGATCGCAGTATTACTTTTAGTACCTGTCACCTCTGTAAAACTCCTGAATTATAACTCATCTACACACATTTGAAAAACAGCAGTATCTGTATGTGTGAGATATGACTGGTTCTAAATGATGCCTGGAGACCCCATGGACTTACAGAGACCCTTCCAGTGATTTCTGAGGTACCTGGGAATCTGTGGCCAATAAATTGGTAATCACTGAATTAGTGAGTTTTTTAAGAATATCAGGCTGCATAAAATCTGACAGCTTGATTGAAAAAAAGCGGGAAAGGGTGCCATTTCATTCAATTAAGGTCCTGTATTAATTCCGTTTAATAAATGTTTGGTCTATCTATGATGTGCTAGCCACTGTGCCAGTGAATGGATATAGCTATGATCTGACTTGCAGAGGAAATCCAAACTAGTACCTTCCGTGCAATAAGGGATACACTGCAAGGCTGCACAGGGTGCTACTGGAGCACAGAAGTGAGTCAGAGGCTTCCCACAGACACACAACACGAGCGGAAACAGAAAGTCTTTATATATCACCATAACGTCAAGGAACACCGGCTGGGAGTTAGGAGAGCTGGGCACTAGGAACGCTTTGAAACTGAATAGCTGTGGGATTTCCGAGGTTATGTTGCTTCTCTACTATATTTTAGTTCCGAAGCTGTACTAATGTTTCTCTTTCTTTTGCTCTTGGTGGGAAAAGCACAATTTGGGGTCAACAGATTCGGCTCAGGTCCGAGTCGCCTGCTGGGACCACGTCGCCAGGAAACGACGTCTCCCGGACACCTTCCCTCCCCGTCAGGCTCTCTGCAGGGATTCACCCCGTTCCCTCTCCCAACGACTCCCGGGCACGCCTCCGTTAAAGGTGAAATATGCTGCTCCTGGGGAGCAAAGATAACCCGGAGGACCAGGGAAGGACCTTCCCACGCGCACGACTCGCGATCTTCCCAGTGCCCCAGAGCCAGGGACCCCACTGCCGCCTACCCCAGCCGCAGCACCGAACCTGTTCACAATTGCGACTCCTCAGGTCCGCTTCCACACCGCCGGAAACGGAAATTCACCGTCGCGCCGACTCGCGGGGAGGGAAACAAAAAGGCAGAAAAAAGAGACCGGCGCCTGGACGACTTCCAGGGGAGAGCTGGAAGACTAGTCAACAGCTGTGTGCGGGCGCCGGCGCCGTCTGCGCAGTGCGTTCCACCGGGTCCGCATCCCTCCCGATTCCGCCCCACCCTGCCCTCGGAATCCGCTGCCTCAACTCCCGCGGTGGGACTCCGGAGCAGCGTACACCGCCCTCGCCTTAGTCCTCCGCGAAGGCCAGGGCAGCTGTGCGGCCTGCCGCGGATTAGTTGGTGCGGTGCAAAAGCCAGAAGGAGACACATTTGGTCCTGGCCACCCCGGAGTCACCGTGCCCGGGACAAATGGACTATGGCTCGACTGGGAGTCGACTTCCTTCTCTTTAAAGATGACAGATGAGGGAGATCTCAGGTTCTGGGGGTGCCCTAAAGCCCTCTTTTGGCAGGAAGCGGTGGCTCATGCCTGTAATCCCAGCCCTTTGGGAGGCTGAGGCGGGAGGATCGCTTGAGCCCAGGAGTTCAAGACCAGCCTGGGCAACTTAGGGAGATACCCCCGCCCACCGTCTCGCAGGAAAAAAAAGAAAGGAAGAAAATTAGCCAGGCACGGTGGCTCACGCCTGTAATCCCAGTATTTTGGGAGTCCAAGGCAGGAGGATTGCTTGAGCCCAGCAGTTCAAGACCAGCCTGGGCAACACAGGGAGGCTACCTCTCTCTCAATCAATCAATCAATCAATCAATGCCAGCGTCGTGGCGGGCGCCTGTGGTCCCTGTGGTCCCAGCTACTCTGGAGGCTGAGGCGGAACGATCGCTTGAGCCTTGGAGGCGGAGGTTGCAGTGAGCTGAGATCGAGCCACTGCACTCCAGCCTGGGCGACAGAGCAAGACACTGTCTCAAAGAAAAATAAATAAATAAAATAAGGCCCTCTTTTTCCAGGACCAACAGACTCTGATGGCAGGGACAAACTGACCCAGCCTAAACTGCCTCGCCTTCCCTGCTCCCGGGAAAGGGGCTTTCCCTGAGGGAAGGTAGCATCTTGCCATTTTCTTCCTGCACAGCTTTGCCTTCCCAGGGATCGGCCCATTGCCACCTGAGGAAATGCCTTGGAGTCCATCTAACCCACAGCCCAGGTACTTGGGACGCCTACAGAGCCTACATTGTCAGAGGATGCATCTTCTTCTAGTCTTGGAGGGGTTCCTTTCAATAAGATCCCACCAGTGCACTCAAGGCTCAATTCTACACCAAAAAACTAGGCCCACTCCTGTCACCGAGACCCCCAGGCTTCAGGTCCTGTCACAGTGACCTTGTTTTCGCCCCCAGCAGCCCCCAGGTATTCACTCTGCATAGGCTATATACTGGGTGCTAAACAAGAGAGGCTACCCACGTGGTGCATGCTTCCCTTATCTGTGAAGAGCTTAGGATGTTGTAACTTCTTCACACTATGCCTCTTACTTCATGGAGATGTCAGTATCCGGGTAGATAATCCTTCCAACATCCTTTTGATCTCATGAAGCCCACTCCTGTCCTCTGCCCTACCTCAGCTTCCCCCTCCCTCCATGATCAGACCTTAGACCTTGTCAGGTCCAAGGACTGCAAACCCCACAGTAGCCCACTCTGACCACCACCTCCTAGCTATCCAGGTTACTCCCTATACTGCCCTGAAACAAAATTCTTGCAACCTTACCAGTACCTCCAATCCAGATCTTACTACCTTTTCACTGTTTCTTCCTTCCTTTATGACTTTTCCCTCTCTAGTGAGCGAGCTTAAACTCCATGGCCAACCATTCTCATTGGTCCCTTGCACACCTCCTCAACTCACCCACCTCCCTGTCACCTCCTATCTGCTTAGTAAGATGGGAGCCCTGGATAAACTCAGCTCTCCATCTATTCCATGCCACAACGATGCAACTAAACATGGCTGGAAGAAAACAGGACCATGCCAGCAGTCCTCACTTTAATCATTCTTTTTCCGGTCTATTCAATCTCCCATTGTTCCAAATGAGTATTTCGCACTTCTTCCTCTCTGTTCAGTCCTTCCTACTGCCTCCCCCTTCCTTGCCTCCTGAAAAAAGAAGGGAAAAAAGACCTTTTGAAAAAAGAAGGGATAGGTGTCCACAACTCAGTGTGAAGTGTTTAAAAAAGAGCCACACAAGCACGAAGAAAGCCAGAAGTGAGTAACCTGCAGAAAAGTAGGTAAAGGTTCTGATCTGGATCCAGATGAGAAATGGAATAGCAAGTTAAAATCAGGAAATATTTTGAAGAAGATAAATGTTCCTGGATATCTTTGAATACTTGGTAAATTATTAAGTTCTTATATATAATAAAGCAAGATTGTAGGTTTGTCTTTTTATTCAGGTATTTGAGGAAAATGTGTCTCCAAGGACTATTGAAATCTGAGACATATGTTGTGGGTACATTAAGGAGAAAGTATAGTAGTGTTTAAGAATTTAAAAATATATTTAGGTCTCATCTTGTAAGTCAGCCCTTCTCCTTACATTAACTATATGACTCCTTCATAGTGGATTATTATTCCATCCAAAATTTCCTATTTCAAAAGCCACATTTGGTTCATGCAGATATGAAAAGATGCCATAGTAGGAGAAAAAAGTTTGGAGATGATTAAGATGCAAACAGGAGTATTTAGTAATACTTTAGTAAGCTTATACGAATATGATAAAATACAGTTTTAATTTGGCTTCTAAGTATACTTTATTCTAGACATTATAAATCACCATCACTTGAGAGAAAAAAAGAGAGCCAGAGATGAATATATACTTTCCAACATAATGTAAAGGCATAGTAGCATCCTCAACATGACGTATGCTGTGCTCCTAAATATTAAGGATAAGATGCTAAAATTTGTCTTTATCCCCATGTTTTGGGTTCTAAAATATTAGATGTAGAAAAAAAGTAAAAAGAAACCACTCTAAGACAAGGAATTTTATTTTCGTAAAACATCCATATCCACATAATTTGTAGGCAGTTTCCTAAATGGCTTTCAGTGATCCCCTTTTCTTAATATTCATATCCTGTCCTTTCAGCTTGATAGTTGGCTTGAGATTAATCACACTTGAGCTTAATCACTTCCAAGTCTAGATGACAAAAGCCTTTGACTTTTTTCTTGCACATTCTTTTTTGCCTTCTTATTTATTAGCCCTGTTGAAGCTGCTTCCATGTTGTGAGATGCTTTATGGGTAACATCCATGTGGTAAAACAGTGAAGTAGGCCTCTTGCCAACCACCAATTAAGAATAACCATGGAGGAACTGAGTCCCACCAACAGCTACTTGAGTCACTATGAAAGTGGACTCATCACTGATTGAACCTTGGAATAACGATAGCCCAATTGACACCTTGATTTTAGCCTTGTGAGATATTCAGGCAAAGAGAATGCAGCTAAGCATTATCTGAATTTCTGACTCATGGAAACTGTGAGATAATAAATGTTTGCTGCTTTATCCACTAAGATTTTGGATAATTTGTTAAACAAACACATAACTAATACACATACATACACAACTTGCAAGATAAAATATAACTTTAGAGGAAAAAAGAAGAAATCAAGCAAGAACTAGATGCAGTTAACATAAACTAAGCTCAACATATTTCATTACAGCATGTGGAAATTGTAAAGTATCTTTTTCTCATATATGTTAAGTACTCAGTAAAAAATTACAGTATTGCTGAAATCTGTATACTGAAGTTGAAAAAGACAAAACTTAGAGGATATATGGGACGTAGTGAAAACATAATTGAAAGATTCAAAATCAAAATTTGTATACCAATTTGTATTTTAAGAAAAATGTAAAGAGTTACAAAAAGTATGTCCCCTTCTCTGACAGTAATTATTACCCTATTTGCTATAATATAATAAATAAGGTTTTGAGTAGCAAATTTGTGGCAGATTTAAGCAACAATCCAGGTAAACAGACACCTTTCTTTCAATAAGGGAGCAGCAAATGACAATTACATTATTCAGCAAAAACATTTTATCTTTGTTTACAGACTTTGTGTGTGTGTGTGACTGTTTCTCACAAATTGCAAAGGTCCCCAATCTTAACAAAGAATTTATTTGACCATTAACTGTATTTCATGGGTAACCTTTATTTTATAACATGAAATTATATATTGAATTTGGATTTTTACATTTTGTTAATTACTAATTCACAAGAAGGGGAAAAATAAAAAATCTTCAAAAAGCAGTTATAGCTCAATGATTTAAATCAATTCACCAGGCTATGGTTGTGGCAGATAATAAAACATTAAATTCTTCTCCCAAAGCTAAGTTGATTACTCTGAGTACCTACCTGTGTTCTTCCAAAATTTTATAAATTACATGAGATTGGAGCTCAGATGAAATTTAGATTGCTTTTTTTCCAACTTTTAAGTTCAGTGGTACATGATCATGATTAAATGATGGCTAAAATGAGGATCTAAATCTATTGTATCATTACTTTACAATCAGAAATAAATGATAACAGTAAAGTATTTTATTAACTTATTTCTGAGGTAATAGAAGAGGAATATATGTGATAAGGAAGAATGAATTGATTTGGACTGGTAAGGAAATGTGATTTTAAGAGAAATTTACACACCTAGTTAGTATGCAGGAAGGTGTGGAATGCAAAAAAGACCTGAGATAAAATTAATGGCTTAAAAAATTCTGATAGCCCAAACAGCCGTGCACCATTATATTCAAAAACAAAATAAGCACATGCTGAAACATTACCTTAATGTGAGGAAAAACTTGATGTGCCGGGAATAGTGAGAAATGACATATTTCCTGGACTGGCCAGACTGCTTTTTTAGTAAACTGGAGATACAAAATCAAGGTATATATTCAATCCATGAATGTTTTGATTTCTCATTTGCAGCATTTTGAGGTTTTGATACATCAAAGCATTCTGAATAACAAAATCTCACATCTAATGTTGATAAATATGACCACAACAAGCTCTAAAATTCTACAGTCCTTGCCTTTCTGCCTGAACCTTGCCCCCCAAAAATAATTTATTTCAGGCATTTCCAGTCAAAATTTTAAAACTGATACTAATTTTGTATAGTTTGGGTCATGTTTATGACATATTAATTAGTCATAGTTGTCAAGAAACAGAATGATCTAGGTAATATGCTCAACTCTGAAGCTAGGCTGTCAGGTTTTGAAACCAATGGATTAAGAACAGGGAAGTGGCTGGGCGCAGTGGCTTATGCCTGTAATTCCAGCACTTTCAGGGGCCGAGACAGGTGGATCACTTGAGATCAGGATTTTGAGACCCGCCTGGCCAACATGGGTGAAACTCCGTCTCTACCCCAAATACAAAAATTAGCCAAGCGTGCTGGCACACATCTGTAATCCAAGCTACTCAGGAGGCTGAGACAGGAGAATAGCTTGAACCTGGGAGGTGGGGATTGCAGTGAGCCGAGATCGTGCCACTGCACTCCAGCCTGAGTGACATAGTGAGACTGTGTCTCAAAAACAAAACAAAACAAAACAAAACAAAACAAAAGAAGTAAGGGGTAATTCTCCAAGGAAAACTACCATTATTTTATCAAAATAATGAAGGAAGCATTCTGGTCAGTCAAACCAACCTATGTCTATAATCCAAGAGCAAGCTTCACAGAGAAATTTTTAATACAGAACTGAAATATTATTCATAAGTGATTGGAGTATTCCGGGGAATAGATGCTAGTAAAAGTTAAGAAAAATTTATGCATTTTCTTGCCTTATAAGAAGTCAATTAGGGTGAAATTCATGTTGTAAAAGTATTTACATATAAATCAACTTCAAGAAAAAATTTTCTGGAGATATTAGCAGAACATATTGTACTTTATAAAAATAATGCATGAATTTGGTCTAGGCTGGGTTGAATATGTTTAGAAAAACACAGTCTTTTGAAGAAAAAGTTAGATTGCAATATCTCAAGTAATAACTAGTGACAATGAAGATAATAAAGTGTTCTTATGAGCCCAAGAGTTGATATTTCTAAGTTTCACGGCATAGCTGATGAATCATTCAGTAAAACCAAATGAAACAAATACCTTCAATCTCTCAAATCAAACACCATACTGTTGAGATTTTAGCTATAACTTTATGTTTGCCTTGTTTGAAAAAGTATTTTAAAACCCCAAAATATTTTTTGTTAAACCTTCTTAAATGGTTAAAACATTCCTTTTAGAGTAAACACTTATGAAATGCTTAAGCATTGTAACCTCGTCATTCTAAAGGATTAAACTGTTGATTTTAAATTGAACATTTATGAAATGCTTAAACATTTTAACTAGCCTTTTTTAAAGTGCAATCATAAAAACACTGTTTTTATAATGAAAGAAATATTTCCTAATTGCATTCACACATTTGAACTATTTAGACATGAGGCAATAAAGTGAAATACAATTGTGAAACACATATTTTATGTAAAGTATAGTTGCCAAAGTTTTTGTCATCTTGAAATAATCTTTTTATACTTTTTTGCTTTTAAAGCATAAGTTTGTGGCACAAGTTAAGTTGATTCTGGCAAATTGTAGTTAATCCCCGACTACTTTTCATGATTAGATATTCAGCTAAGGTATACATCACAGACCATCTGTGAGAAGACACTATTTCATCTGTCTTCTGGGTAATAGGGAGGCTCATTTTGAGGATGGACCCACCGTGTTTTTTTGTGAAAGCAGGAGAGTGCCAGGTGGTTGCTACAGATAAACACAAAGGGTAATACCAGAGAAAAAGAAACGCAGGGCTTTGCCAGCAAACCTTTACAATATTGGTGCACTACAACAGGTGGTAAACAGTGAGATGTCATATATGTGTACAAAGCCAGAATACATTTCACAATTTGTAGCTCAGATTCCATGAGACACTAAGAATACAGATGTTAGGAAGTTTCAAATTTCAATAAGGGTAGAATCTAATACCACCGTGAAAATACCCTTTCTCAACTGCATGTACTTATATTGCTAACTGGAGAAAATAGCTCTGGAGAGTAATCATGGAACTGTGCGGAGTTTATTTGGTTAATGGGACCAAACATACAATTAGGTAGAAGAAATAAGTTCGAGAGTTCAATAGCACTGTAAGGTGACTAGTTACTAATTTATCGTATATGTCAAAATAGCTGAAGGTGAATATTTGAAATGTTCCCAAAACAAATAAATAATAAACCTTTGTGGTGATGGATAACCTAAATATGGTGATTTGATTTTTACACATGGTATGCATGTATCAAAATATCACATTTACTTGTTATAGATACATGAGAGTTGTACTATATAAATATGTACAACTCTTGCATATCCATAAAAAGTAAATACATGAATAGATTAACAAATAGAACACGAAAAAAATTATTAGTACAGAATAGTTAGCCTTTTTCTAAGTTTCATGAGAAATCTGCAAATTTCCTAGGGAAACTTATGACAGCCTATTAACATGCAAATATAATGTATTAGATCTAACTTTTAAAAGTAAAAAGAGATTTTTTTATCATCCTGAAGAAGAAAAAGAAATTTTACCAAGGTTTTCTTGTCCTGGGCTCAACATGTAATGATGAAAGCAAACTGGAGTAGAAAGTAAGGCAAAGAAAAATCAATACATATTTTTTTCAGCGGTCTCTAAGCATCTTAAACTTTGTTATCTCTCATGTCTAGCTTTATTCCAGGCACAAACTGATCAAAAATTGGTTCCCTGAATGAGCTTGCCATATCAGATACAGAAATTTTAAGATTTGCTAATTCAAACTACAAGAACACAGTAAATAGTAAGAGAAGACATGAGCCTGTCAGTATATTAAATTCACTGGCATGCTTTTTTCATCTATTTCCCTTCAGAATCTACTACAAAACCTAGAGAAATGTGACCCCTATGAGCCACTGTTATGCAAAGGTGTGCCAGACTCATTGTGTTTAGGGCAGAAAGTGTAGCCTGGAGTAAAAAAATAAAAAATAAAGATTTTAAGTCCAAGAATGCTCAAAACTAAGTAAATGATGTATTACCAAATTTTGATTGCTGCATAAAATACCTCTTTGTGACAACCCAGTTTACGCGCAATTTCAGTGATGACTATTAGAGAACTATTAAGCTGAGCAGGTCATGTAGCTTAGGGTAAACCTCATGACCTCATCTGTTGGAACATGTGTCGATAGGATAGACCAGGCAAAGGCTGGGCGCAGTGGCCCACTCTTGTAATCTCAGCACTTTGGGAGGCCGAGGCGGGCAGATCACAAGGTCAGGAGATCGAGACCACCCTGGCTAACATGGTGAAACCCCAGCTGTACTAAAACATACAAAAAATTAGCCAGGCGTGGTGGTGGGCGCCTGTAGTCCCAGCTACTCGGGAGGCTGAGGCAGGAGAATGGCGTGAACCCGGGAGGCGGAGCTTGCAGTGAGCCGAGATCGCGCCACTGCACTCCAGCCTGAGGGACAGAGTGAGACTCCATCTCGAAAAAAAAAAAAAAAAAAAAAAAGGATAGACCAAGGAAAAAATATGCTTTGAGTAAGACGTAAGCATGCAGGATCAATTTAAAATGGTCCCAAATGAAGATGCCTTCTGAGTATATGTCAGAGAAGTGAAGACAATGAATAGTTCCATGCAAGCAATTCAAGTGAGAAAGGGCAATGCGTAAGGCAAAATAAATGAGATGAGAAGCAACCTTTGCCCACAAAGAGCCTGGTAAGAAGATTTTTTTTGTAAGTCTTGCTTATTTTTCATTAGAAAAAAAAGTTAGAGGCAAATCTTTTTATTTAGGCATATTATAAAAATATTTCTGTATCCTCACTATGAATGAGAAAATAAGCATAAACTCAAATTATAAAAAGATCCAACAGGCAAAAACCTATGTCATATGTTTGTTTGAGGTTGATACTTTAAAAGAAATTATCTACCCACAAGATGGGGAGAAAATAAATAGAAATCTGTTTTTCTCCACTGCTTTAAGAATCTATACTGATTTCAACTCTCTTAGACAAAATTTCACATAGACCACATGCATGAAAATTTTTATGCTGCCATTATACCTTATATGGCAAATAATTGCTATAGCCATACTTATTTTACTCTGTTGAGCTAAATACATTTTTACCAAAAAATAGTATGTATCAAAATCTTAAATGCTCACATTTAATGGGAAAATGGAATAACTTACATGCACTATAATTCTCAACCTGTTTAGTGCAAAAGATCTGAAAAGATGAAAAAAGTTTAGAGAGAGCAATCACAAATAGAATAGAAAGGAAAATTCAAAATGATGTCAAGATAAAAACTAGAATATTAGCTGCAGGACAGCAAAAACTTCTGTCTTTTATTTTTTAAACTACTCTCACCCTGGTACTCAGAATTTTGTTTGGACACAGTAAGCACTCAATAGATTTATTGAATGAGTAAACACATTTTAAAACATCAAAATTATTACCTGTATTACAGTGAAAAAAATACCTAATGACCTTCTACAATGTGCCATTCTTTATGCAAAGTACTTTATATATATCAGCCTGTATAATCACTGTTAAAACCAATGAGAAAGACAATAATTTATTGATGAGAAATTGGAAGTTCAGATCTATTAAGAAAGTCATCCAAAGCCATGCTGACTTCAAAGTACAGACTCTTTACTTTAGGACATGGCATAACCCCCAGAGGGTAATGATATTGAGAAAGCTTTGCCATTGGAAACACAATTTCATAGACAAGAAGAGAAGATTATGTTCACATTACTTTTCATGCTTCACATGGCAAGAACATTCCGCTCTTTAATGTTAGGATTCATAACTTTCCCTAAATACTCTGTGCTCTGTTGTCTAAATGGTAACACCAAGAATCATCACTTTTCCTCCATAATAGGATGTGCAGTGTCTTTGTGTGAAATATAGTCTATAGTTGTATATCTTCTAGTTGAGAAATTTAATCATGCAATATATCTGGAATAAGAAAAAAATACAGCAACAATTAAAATAGGACAATAAAAATGAGTAAGATGTTTAAATTTCTATTGCCAGAAAAATTGTGGAAAATAGAATTCATGAAAGAGAAATAGAGTGGCATAAAACAACTGCAGGGGAGAAATGATGAAAACAGAGAAAGAAAGAGATAAACTAGTGAAATAAAGTTGAAAAAAGCTTTATTTTCACAGCATTGCATTTTGTGAAAAGTTTTACACTTTTACATTAAAGAGTTTAAGAGTATACTAAATTGAATTTGTTTTTGACTTGATACTTCTGCTTTTAAATTATATCGTCTTAATTACCATTTAAAACTTACTACTAGTTAATTTATATATCATTACTAATGTCAGCATCTTATCAGGCATAAGAGTTAAATATAAATTTATATTCCCCAGGTGAATGCAATTGATACAAGAAAAAAATTACTAATCAAGAAAAAAAAAAGGAGTTCCTTTCTCTAAATGTATCACATAGTGATACAGCTTTTTATACACTACAAACAGAGTGGGTCAGAAGTTAAAGAAAGTAGTTTGTCTTCTGGAAAAATTATAAATCATATTTTATTAAGAAAAACAAACTACTCAAATTCGGGATAGGATCAATCAATATTTTCTCTTAAATTTACAGTTGACAAAAAATTGGAAAGAAGTAATAGAGGACTTTTTGGTGTTTTATTATTGTTATGTGATATTATTCCTGATGACTCTAGAATTAACTTCACTTTAATCTGTTCAAGTGTCTTACTCCCACAAGTGTTCCTTCCTCAGGATTATAAAATGTACCCCCTTTACTCTATCATGCTTATTAGCATACTGTCTCATATGTTTCATGCTGTGGAACCTCATAGAATTTACAGCAACTATTACAACTCATTTATAACTTTTTTTTTTTTTTGAGACGGAGTCTTGCTCTGTTGCCCAGGCTGGAGTGCAGTGGCGTGATCTCGGCTCACTGCAACCTCTGCCTCCCGGGTTCAAGCATTTTTCTGCCTCAGCCTCCTGAGTAGCTGGGTAGCTGGGATTACAGGCGCCCACCATCACACCCGGCTAATTTTTTTGTATTTTTAGTAGAGACAGGGTTTCACCATCTTGGCCAGGTTGGTCTTGAACTCCTGACCTAGTGATCCACCAGCCTCAGTCTCCCAAAGTTCTGGGATTACATGCATAAGCCACAGCGCCTGGCCCTATTTATAACACTTTTTAAAGTTCTCATACTTTTTTTTTTTTTTTTTTTGAGACGGAGTCTGGCTCTGTCGCCCAGGCTGGAGTGCAATGGCGCGGTCTCGGCTCACTGCAAGCTCCGCCTCTCGGGTTCACGCCATTCTCCCGCCTCAGCCTCCGGAGTAGCTGGGACTACAGGTGCCCGCCACCTCGCCCGGCTAATTTTTTGTATTTTTAGTAGAGACGGGGTTTCACAGTGTTAGCCAGGATGGTCTCGATCTCCTGACCTCACGACCTGCCCGCCTCGGCCTCCCAAATCTACTCTTTTTTATATTTCTCTGCTCTTATTCACACTTGAACCCTATCTAATGAGTGTCTTATCGCTACCACATTCCTGAAACCACACTGTCAATGACCAAATCACTAAATCCAATGGTCAATTTTCCATACTCATGTTGCTTGAATTATCAGCAACTTTTTTTTTTTTCTTTTTGGAGACAAGATCTTGCTCTGTCACTCAGGCTGGAGGGCAGTGGCTCACTGCAGCTTCAACCTCCTGGATTCAAATGGTCCTTCCACCTCATCCTCCCAAGTAGCAACAGCATTTCATACAGTTGATGACTCTCTCCTTATTGACAAAAATATCCTCATTGTATTTTCAGTTGACAACGCTCTCCAGGTTTTCCTTCTACCTAGCTTCTTAATCTCCTTTGCAGGTACTTCATCCTGTCTAATCTCTAAACCTTGGGGTAAAAAGGTTTCAGTACTCAGGTGTACGTTTTTTCTCTATCTAAACTCACTCCATCTCTTAATAACATCATCTAGGTCGAGGCGGACGTCGCTTCCGGAGCAGCATGGAAGCCACTGAGGATGAGAGGCTAGCAGGGAGCGGTGAGGGAGAGCGGCTGGATTTCTTGCGGGATCTGCACGTGCGATTTTTCCAGCGCTGCCTTGAGGATTTGCCGGAGCGCTATTCTTCACTCGAGACAAGCAGGTCCTTCCCACAGAAGGCAGATGAAATCTAAATCGCTGTGGTTTCCGAGGCTCTTCATACCTGGGTATTCCTTTCAATCCATCAAAGGCTCCTGGAACAGCTCATCCTTATGATAGTGGCCACATTGCAATGACCTACACTGGCCTTTCATGCTTAGTTATTCTTGGAGACGACTTAAGCCGAGTAAATAAAGAAGCTTGCTTAGCAGGCTTGAGAGCCCTTCAGCTGGAAGATGGGAGTTTTTGTGCAGTACCTGAAGGCAGTGAAAATGATATGCGATTTTTGTACTGTGCTTCCTGTATTTGCTATATGCTCAATAACCAGTCAGGCATGGATATGAAAAAAGCCATCTCCTATATTAAAAGAAGTATGTCCTATGACAATGGACTGGCACAGGGAGCTGGACTTGAATCTCATGGAGGATCTACTTTTTGTGGCATTGCCTCACTATGTCTGATGGGTAAACTAGAAGTTTTTTCAGAAAAAGAATTGAACACGATAAAGAGGTGGTGTATAATGGGGCAACAAAATAGTTATCATGGAAGACCTAATAAGCCTGTAGACACCCGTTATTCTTTTTGGGTGGGAGCAACTCTAAAGCTTCTAAAAATTTTCCAATACACTAACTTTGAGAAAAATAGAAATTCCATCTTATCAACTCAAGATCGCCTCGTAGGGGGATTTGCCAAGTGGCCAGTCATCCAGGTGCTTTGCATGCATACTTTGGGATCTGTGGCCTGTCACTAACAGAGGAAAGTAGAATTTGTAAAGTTCATCCTACTCTGAATGTAAGCACACGGACTTCTGAATGCCTTCTAGATCTCCATCAAAGTTGGAAAACCAAGGACTCTCAAACAATGCTCAGAGAATGTACATATCTCCACATAACTGATTTTAGATTGGGAGGGTGGGGGGATTTGTAGCATAACTGTAGCTCAAGTTTAAAAGCCATGTATAACCAAGTGTGCTCTTTTTTTAAAAGGTAGAGTCTTACAATCAAATCTCCTGCTGAGGTCACTTTGGGATATGGTCTTGAGCCAGTAATCTTTGTACTGGGTTTCAAGAAAATCTGTGTTGAAGTTTGAACCACAACTTTGTCATGGTTCTTAAATGTTTATACTGTATTTCTAAGAAGTTGTTTGAGGCAAATTAACTGTATGTGTGTAGGTTATCTTTTTAAAAACTCTTCAGTGCAAATTGTATCTTGTTATAAAATGGACACAAATCTTCAAAACAAATTTACCTTCATATAGCATTGATAATCCTCAGGTGAACACTTAGTAATCATTTAAAAAGCTCACTGCTGATGGTAGAAAATTTGCTTTAATGAATTAAGTATCTGGGATTATTCTTTGAAAACAGATGACCATAATTTTTTTAAAGAAGAGTGATTTATTTTGTCTTATTTTTAAGTAAAGTGTGCCAATTAAACCTCTGTGGCCTATATAAATGAAATTAATAACTTCATAGTAAGAATAAATAGGTTTAACTAATGTGATAGTTTTCTAAAAGGAGATTGTTTGAAGACAACTATTATGTAACTGAGGGAAAAGCAACTAACTATATGTGATTGTGAATGAGGAAGTTTTGTGCTATGTGGGTCATTTATTTAGACATTGCTGTGGTGAATACCAGTTATGTTTGATTTTATTCTCAAATCATTCGTTGCCTTTTTTTTTTTTTTTTTTTTGCTTTCTAGGAAGAAAACAATCTTTTTTATCTACAAGGAAAGATACTTTGTGTTTTTATTTTTAGCCATTTGAATTTTTTAATTTG
Source organism: Homo sapiens (assembly GCF_000001405.40). Classification (NCBI taxonomy): domain Eukaryota; kingdom Metazoa; phylum Chordata; class Mammalia; order Primates; family Hominidae; genus Homo; species Homo sapiens. The sequence goes on along the minus strand of NC_000010.11, from coordinate 50,726,053 downwards.
TTGCCCCCAGTGTGTTAGCTGCTTTAATTTCAAACTAATACTTTTCTAATTTTTTTCAAATTAAATAAGTAAAAAAATGCAAAAACAGAACCATTCAAATAGATTCAGTGGTGCAACTCTATACATGGTCATTTTTATTCTCATATTCTCAGGTAAGTGAGAGGGAAATGTAAGCATTTAGAGGGTAAGAACCAGGGTTTTGTTTTTGTTCATTGTTTTGTTTTCTTAAGTCTATGAACTAGCTAATTATGAAGGAGATAGTATAAAAACTCTTCATTCGTAATTAATTTCCATTACTTGCTCAGTGACATTCAGAACTATGAGTCTAGTACTGAAATAGGGAAAGAAATCTCTTCACTAAAGGAGTTGGGTTTAAGTTAGTCTTGGTGATAATAAATGTTGAAATACAAACCTCAGTATAAAAACTAGATTACTGGTATCACTGTTTAGGAATTGTAATATTTTAAATGTTATCTTTTTTTCTAAATTAGAGAAAAAATGTTGTAAAATTACAGTCTTTCCCAAGGGAAACACTATGTACTTGGAGAAATGATTCATTTATTACTGGCATGCTTAGTTTTAAACCTGAGTTTGCCAAAGTCAACTGTATGTTTTTTAATTAGAAATAAAATAAATCTTCTGATGGTGGGGGAAAAAAATAAGCCTAATAACAGATATTATCCTTCTGTGGGTTATTCCAGTTGCTACTATTTAAATCCTGGCAGATTAAGACATCCATATCTCAAACTAAGTCATCTCTTAGACATTGGAAGTGGAAGTAGCATATACATAATGGCTTTAGGACTATATAAAAAGCCCAAATTCTTTTTTCTATATCATCAGGAAAGGTTAGAAGGTAATAAAGGTAGTAACAGTGACTGTATTCATGAATGTAAGTTAGAGAAAAATTCCAATCTAAAAGTATTTCAGAAGGCTAAATATTTTCTAACTCCTTATAATTTAATACCATAAAATTATAAATTTTAGTAAGCTTCTAATTGATATACTTGTGGGAGACTTTCTTGTGAAACTTCATGGACTAGTAAATGTTCACATTCCACAGCAACTTAATTGACCAGAAAATAGCAGGCCAGTGTGAAATGTGGAGAAACTATTTCTAACTTTTCTAACTAGTTATTTCCAAGAAAAATATTTACCGATTAAATAAATTATAAGCAATATTTCACATACATACTTTATTCCTTAGCAGGAGTGATATAATAAGGGGAAATATGAAGTCCGAAATCTCAAAAAGCTCTATTTCCTACTCCCTACTCGTCTCCTTCCCGTCCCCTAATTTTGTGGTATTTTTTTTTAGAAGGTAGGAGGAGGAGCTTTGTTTTGAGCATCTGCATACAAATAAGATTAATCAGATCATATGGCATAATTTAACCTGTTTATCATTTCAGTGTTCTTAGACTTGATCTATAATATATATGTGGTATTATATCTTTAAACATTTATATTTAATCTAAATTCATACAGAAATCTTGCTGACAGTAGTATATAATTTGAAAACTGTTGGACCTGATCATTTTTGAGAGACAGTTAATGAGGAGGTGCTCTGGAATCAGATGACCTGGGTTTAAATGCCAGATTTGCCAGTTCAGCAGCATGATCTTGGACCCTAACTCTCCCATTGATAAAATAAGGAAAATAGATAAAACCTAACACACAGAGTTTAGGATTAAATGAAATAATACAGATAATGCACTTAGGATAGTACCTGGAATACAGAAAATTTCAAATTATAGTTTCTTTATAATGATCATAAAATTATTTTTGCAATTAAAACCTCTCTTCTACAACAGAAAGAGGTCTTAACAGTTTAACCTCAGGGAAAATGATGACAACAGTGTTGTTTTCTAATCTCGCCATAAAAATACAGAGCAACTAGGATAGTCACAGACACTATTACAACGCTAGATGACAAGGTATCTGCATGAACTTCAAAATACAACTGAGGACAAACCACTGACCCACATAGTTTCAGCATCTGTGGGAGGAAGTAGAAGGAAGGCAGCTGGTTTCTGACAGCTCTGCAAACTGGCGAACGACAACACTGCCCACAGTTTCTCACTACAAAGTGCAGTGGGACAATCTAAGAACAGGCACTGAAACTGGGAAGTGACTACAGAATCCCATTTGCAGATGAATGTTAAAGCAATATGATAAGGTCTGATGATCGCATTAGAGCAGTCTGGGTTTTACACTGTGTACCTCTTGAAGCTTATGAAACAAAATCCAGTGCTGAGGACAAACGAGAAAGCTAAGTATTGGGAATCTAGATCTAGATAAGTATTGGGAAGAAAGGTCAAGATACAGAGACATTATATATATGTATTTTCATATATACATATATATATATATTCTTTTAAATCACTGTAAAAATGGGAGCTCTAAGGCTGTGAAGTCATCCTAGAGCCACTCCTCCCTCCTAAAAGTACGGAAAAACTCATTTCAGTTAAGCGGAAAAAAAGAGTAACTGAGCCAGAATTACAGTCCAACTCCATTCAAAGTTAGTATAAGAAATAAGAGAATAAATAGATCAACATCCTCACAGACAATGAAAGCACACCAGAGAGACATGACCACAAGACAGATAAAAACCTAATATTTGCAAAAAAAAAATGCAAATATGACAGGAAATTTATAGTAATTAGTACAATCATCAGTAAAAGTAGGAAAAGGTGAAAATTAACCAAGTACCAAACACATGGAGTAAAAAGCAAAATAAAGCAGAAGGAAGGAATTAATAAAGATAAAAGCAAAAAATAATTACTAGTAGAAAACCAAAACAAGAGAGGCAATACATCCAAGTTGGTGATAGGTAGTGCGGGGAGTTGAGTGAGATAAACTACCAGCTAACCTATTTAAGAAAAAAAGGAGGAAGCACAAATACAAAAATTTAAATGACAAGAGGGAAATAGTAAAACAAGAAATTTGTTTAAATTGACTACTTTGAGCAATTTTACACAATAAATTGGAAAACTATTTTGAGAAAAATGCAAATTGCCATAATTTACTCTAGGTAGATAAAGAAAGTCACAACAAACCAATTACCATAGAGGAAACAAATAGTTAAAAGTACCCCCTACCAAAAGAAGCATCAAGCCCAGATTGTTTCAAGGGGATTTCTACCAAACCTTTTAAGACTAAATAATCCTGTTCTTGCTTAAGCAATTCCAGAGACTAGGAAAATAATATTGAACCTCAAAGTGCCAAAAAAAAAAAAGAAACTCCTAAATTCATTACTTAAAGTTAATGTAATAGCATTGATTCAAAAACCTGACAAAGATTGTACCAAAAAGAAAATTATAGAGCAATCTCATGAATATTAATAAAAAGTTTTAATGATATATTAGCAAACAATCCAACAGCACTTTCAAAAGGTAATCGTGACTAAGTTGGGTTTATTATAAGAATGCAAGGGTAATTCAATACTAGATAATCTGTTAATATTCATCATATTCAGTGAAAAAAATCTTCATCTTTGCAGAAAAGACATGATAGAATTGAGCACTCACTTATGTTAAATATACTAAGTAGAAATCAATGAATAATCCATTAACATTGTACCTCTACCTAAAAGCCAGCATCTTAAATTTCAAAGCAAAAGAGACTTTCCAGCTGAAGTCAGGAACAAGACATGCCCACTAACTCCTCTGCTACTTAACAATGTGTTGAGAGTTTTAGCCAATGAAGTTAGACAAAATAAAGACGTGAATTGGAAAGGAAGAGGTAAAACTATTTGCAGATATGAATATGTATCTAGAAAGCCCAAAGGAACTTGTTGAAAAACTAAACAATAAAAGAACGTAGTAAAGTAGCTATTAAATACAATTTACATACAAATATCAGTAGGCTTCACCAGACACAAGTGCATACTTTGATTCCATTTTGGTGAATTTCAAAACAGATAGCATTTATGTATGGTGTCAGAAATCAGCACCCCCTTTCAGTCACTACCTGTCTTCCCAAAGGTAAGCATTATCAAAATCACCATCAATTAGTTTTGTCTGGTTTTGAATTTTATATGAGTGGAACCATACAGTATACATTATTTTTCAACTGGCTTTAACTCAGTAGGACTGAAAGAGGGTACAAAGGGACTCTGTGGTGCTGGTAGTGTTCTGTTTCAAGATCTAGGTGCTGGTTACATAGGTGCATTCACCTTATGAATATTTATCAAGCTATATATTTATGATTTGTGCACTTTTCTGTATGCATAATCATAGCTCAATAAAAATGTTCACTAAAAGAAATCTAGTCCTATGATCTGAAATCTCATTTATAATATAAACCTACCAGTCTGAACATCTCCCTTGAATTCCATACTAATATATCCAATTATCTACCCCGCCTTTCTATTTGGATGTCCAATACAAGTCTCAATAATAACGTTCAAAATCAAACTCCTCATATTCTTTTTCAAAACAGCTCCTTCTGTCATCTTTCCCACTTGACTCAAGTGTAATACCCATTCTTCAAATTGCTAAAACTAAAACCCCTCGAGTCATCCTTGATATCTCTTATTCTCTCTTTTGCTATATCTAATCCACATTGGTATCCTCTTTGACTCTCTTTTTTCAATGAATCTCTTGTTAATTGCATTATCATACCACATCTCATAACTTTCACCTTTACCACCCTAGCTCAAGCTGTGACTCGTATTAACCTTGTTTTTTGATTAGCTTTGTAAATAGAAATCCTTCTACCTTTACCATCATAGAGTTTGTTTAGAACATAGTATTCTAGTAATTATGTCAACACCAGCCATATCGCATCACTATCTCACTCAGATCAACAGATTTGGTCCCCACAAGCTTTATGACCTAATAGTATATGTATCTATCCCTAATTCACTCTGATCCAACTATGCTGTCTTTATGATGTTTTTGCAAACATGCTATGTACACTCCTGCTTCATGAGTTTTGCATTTATTCTTCCCTTTTCCTGGAAAGCTGTTATTCCAGAAACCCATGTGGCTCAATCCCTGACCTTCTTTAAGTCTCTGCTCAAATGTCACCTCGCTAATGAAGTCTTATCTCACTTCAGCATTTTAAGTAACACCCTTATTCATCACACTTTATTTATCTGCTTTGCTTTTCCTTATATGATCTATTATCATATGATCTACTATATATTTTGCTTAATTTCTTTGCTTATCACTTCACACTAGACCTAGAATTGAATACCTATTCTATGCGGGCTATTTTTTTTTTTTTTTGCATATGCTGTTTCTGTCATATGTTCAGACTTAGACCAATATCTACAACACAGGAGATGCTGAATAAAGATGGTTTTGAATAAAAGTAAACATTTTATAAAGAATGTATACAAAACCAGAAACATTTGGAAATATATAATTTTAAAAATGAAATAACAAATCTAAACCAGAACTATTTAGCATATATTGCTTTCTAGTTAGTGTTGGAGTAAAATATTTGAGTTTACTTTTTTATTATTTAGTAGACAGAAAAATCACCAGGGCCCAAGCCCACAATAGCTAGTGGGAAAGCAGGATAGAATAGTACTTAAAAGCACAGACTTAAATACTTGTGATTCAGAGAATCAGGCAGTTTCACTTATCAGGTAGGTTAACGTGGGCAACTTATCAGTGGGTCTCATGATTGTTATCGAAAATATAGAGAAAATATAGTATTTCTTTCGTGGCATTATTAAGAGTCTTAAACGTAAAGCACTTGATACATTGCTTAATGCATGGTAAGCTTAAATAATCAATTAGCTACTCTTAGTACCATTATTGATGATAGAGAAAATTTTATATGAAAAAGCTTTCAATGAACTTGGAAGAAATGGAAAAGAGAGACTTAGAATAAGTGTACTACCTGCTTTCTCCAGGGAAATAAAGAAATTAATGAAGCAATGCCATATAATCAAGAGCCTTTTTTTAAAGTTTTATATTAAGATGACATGGATATTTAGATATCAATTTTTTAAAAATTAGACATAACTAAAAATTATACAAATTATCATACATGTAATCAAATATTTGCCAGCATAGTATTGAATGAGCTGACAAGAGATTGTTCAGTAAGAAGATTTTATTTAGAAATTTTGAATTTGAAAATTTAGTTTGCTCAGTGACTTAATGTTCTTTTTCCTAGTTCTTGTTATACAAATAAAATAGCCTACAGTATATATGTATATATATATATGTATGTGTGTGTGTGTGTGTGTGTGTATCTATATAAATTATTTGAATGAAACTTTTAGGAAGACTAATAATAAGTTAATAAATATGTTAATAAAGATAGATGCTGCTCGTGTTAGATTCAGTATTTTTTCTTTTTTTTCAGTTTTATTAATGTATGGGTGAAAAGTAAATATTGTGTATATTTGCAGAATACAATGTTATCTTTTGATATATGCATGCATTGTGAAATTATTACCACAATTAAGCTAATTAACATATTCATCACTTCACATACTTTTTTCATGGTGAGATTATTTAACACTACTCTCAGCAATTTTCAAGTATACATTTTTTTAACTATAACCACCACTCTGTACAACTCCAGAACTTATTCATGCTTGTATTAGATTTATATTGCTGCTAAAATATGTTACAAAAAGCCTAGTGGCTTAAAGCAACACCTTATTATATCACAGCTCTTTAGGTCAGATGTTGGAGTTGGATTTGCTAATTTCTCTTCTTTGGGTTTCAAAGGATCAAATTTAGCTGTTGGTCAGCAGGGCACTTACAAGAAGGCTCTGGGAAGAAACTGCTTTCAATCTCATTCAGATTGCTGGCAGAATTCAGATTCGTGTTGTAGAGCTGAAACTGCTGTTTCCTTCCTGGCTGTCACTGGGACTGCCCTTCCTCCTTAAAGACTCCTCTCTGGTCCCGGCACATGTCCTCCTACATCTCAGAGCCAGCATGGTAAATCCTCTTGACATTTGGAATCTGACTTTTCCTTCTGCCGCTTCTCTCTTGTTTCCAGAGAAATTTCTCTGCATCTAAGGCCTCATGTGATTAGATTGAGGAAACCAGGATAATACAGAATAGTCTCCCTATCTTGAAGTTTGTAGCCTGAACTATATTTGAAAAATTCCTATTCTCATGTAAAGTTACTTATTCATAGGTTGTGGAAATTAAAGGTTTGGCTATCTTTGGGGATGCTATAATTAAGCTCATCAATGGGTATGTTTGATCTTGGGAATTTAGAAACCTCCCTAATAGTGAGAGGCTTTGTAACAATTACAAAAATATGAAAGCAAAATCAAGAATGAACACTCAATGATCTATTCTATCATTAATCTGTTGATCTTTTCCTTTCTGTTCTTTTTGTGCTTATCAATCAAATATATTACAAATAACTCTCCCAAAATAATTTTTTGCTATTGACTTTAGGGACAAACATATCCTGTTGAATCAAGAGTAAATGAGAGCACTGAAGATTGAGTTTCCCACATATGCATTTTGTATTGTTGATTGCATAGAATACCAATCACTTTGAATGATATGAGAAAAAATTTTCACCAGTAGAATCTATTCTTTCCTCAACAATTGAATGTAATTCTTCATTTTCCCCATAGAACAGGTAAAGCAATTTGTGTAAGTTTTAAAATAATGTATTAAATATTTGGGGGAATTATATGATAAATTTAAAATAATTTCAATTACTCTGCATAACATTCATTATTAATGAAATTAAATTAAAATATAAATTGATAGGCTAGTTGAAATATTTTTTCAAAGGTAGAGCTCATATAATTTTTCTTATATATTAATCTACTATTGTAGTTTTATTTTTCATATTACTAAACAAACATTGCAACTTGCTGTGATTTATGTAAGTAAGTAGAAATTGGATAAACATTTCCAATACAGGGATAGTTTATCAAGCCTTTTGCAGAGTAGTATTTTCTCAACATTGCCTAAAAACAAACTCATTCAGCTTTCACTGAACTATCACACTGTCTATAATAAGCACTTTAAAAATATTTTCTTTAAAAATCTTGAAATATTAAATAAAATGGCAATCATATTTTAAAATGCTATAACCAATCTTCAAGTTTTGTTATCTTATTCATTCCATTTATGTATTTGTTTTAACAATATTTCCATATGTAATAAATCACCTTAAAACATCAGATTCTAAAGAATTTTCTCGAAGGAATTACTGTCATAAATGTGATAAATACTTCCGTTCTATATAGTAAGGAAGGACTTATTCTGAGCTTCCTTTCTTTGAGAATTCTTCACTCAATGAACAATTTATTCTTTTTATTAAATTCGAATTTTCTATATCTTACTAAGCATCAATTATAAATTACAAGAGAATCCTCTTGAAAGTGCCTTGGTCCAGATCTTTACCTTACTTTGAGGACTATTTTAGGGGCTGTATTTCAGGAATATACTTGAGCTTATTTGCTCAGTGCGTTAATATATAGGACTTTACTTAATAAGAACTGATTAATTTGGTAAGAATTGTTTTGTAAGACTCACTCTTCCTCTTTAGTTGTTTGTTGTTGTTGCAGTTGCATACAGAGATAATACATTATAATTCAAGTTAAATTGAAATTCATAAGAAGAAAAAAATGATGTCTCTGTGTGTGTGTGTGAGTGTATATATATATATAATTCTATGTGTATATATGGGAGCTTCAAGACCATAAACATAGTTTTTTCCTCTGGCAGAACTGAAAAAAAAATATTTTGAATCAGGCCAGATTAGAAATACTCTATCATTTATTTTGCCATTTTTATTTTAAAAATTGAATAATATCTACAACTTACTAGTAGTCCCTATTAATTATACCTCAATAATGTGATTTTTGGTACAGTAAGAAAAAATTACATAATTTCAAAGAAAAAAGAAAATGCCAACTTGCATATACTATATGCTATCAATGTACATCATTTTGAATTGAAAGACTCCTAATTTAAACACATCTCTGTCGCAATCTGATGGAACTTACATCTCAGCAGTCATTTTATCCAAAGCCTGGTCCTGTTATGATAAAAATAAAAGAGAATTTTATTCATTTATTTTTTTGAGAAGCACATGTATATGTTTATAGAATTTTTATACTACGTTTAAAATTTTGGCAAATAGGTTTTTTTGAATCAAGAATGGGTTGAATTTATTGTTTATTAATTTTTAATAAAATTTACAATTTAAAGTTCAGAAAGCTGAAAAGATTCTAAGCTAGTTATGAAGAGCCACAAAAATTCAAATATTCAAATTCATTATAGTTTGGGGAAAATACAGATAATGAGCATGAGGCATCCATCACTTCACCTTAAAATTTCTCACTAAAAATAAGTACCTTGTATATAACAAGTTATCAGCACATATTAACTCACAGCATTAAGTTGGTTATGACAATAATTACTATTTATAAAGCAACAACAATATTATTTTATCTCCATTTTGGAACTTACCCCATGAATCTGGCAGGTCTGGCTACTCCTGTCTATTTCATCCCTGGTGTATCCACCCTCACTTTTGTACACTTATTCCAGTGCCTACTGGGTCTCTGTACCAGCCATATGAGAGAGGGGTCTTGGATCAATATTTGTTTTAAGCAAGAAGCTTTTCTCATTTAATAGTAAAATGGGAAATTGCTTTGATCTTCCAGGTAATAATTTCAACACTATACAATATATTTTATTCAAGTTAATAGAAATCAGGTAGCACACGTATTATTGGAATATCAAAAAAATCTGACTTAAACATCCAGCTGAAGTTAATCCCATAATCACACAGGGAAATAATCCATTATGTCATGCCTTAAAGTAATTTGGATGATATCACCTTGATATTTTTAAAGGTGATTTCACAATATATAAGATGCAAGCCTATATGTGGCCTGCAGTGGTGCATCAGAAAGTACAAATAACAAGACATGCTCCATTTTATGTTTAAAAAGATAGAATTCTGATTCCATCAGGCATGATGGCTTATATTATTTTATATACTATTTAAAGTTTTGTGTATGCACTTTTATTAAATATGACTGCAGATCAATTTCTTTGTTCTTTGTGCTACCTTGGTTAAAATATGAAAAGTTTTTTGAACATTTAAAATCACATACATGTAACAAGTTATCCTGCTGTGTTACCTGTAACAATCAATTTTGTGAAGTAGGAGCCTCTCTCAGCTATTATCTGATCATTTATACAAGATGAAATTATAAATTACCTTAGATCCCCTTGTTCTCGCAATTTATCCTGTATTATTTACATACGTGGTTGTAATTATAGTTAAAAATTATGCTACACTATTATATCCTCATGTAGTTTTTTTATTGTAATGAGAACTACAAAGATTAGATCTTCTTGTGTGTGAAAGTTAGAAGAATTAATACAGAATAATTAAGTGATCATTGAGAATTTTTTTAAAAATAGTAAATGATCAGACCAAGTAAGTTAGATTTAAAAATCAGATAAATATTACATAAGTGCTTAGAGTGCTCTTCAGATAATTTCCTTTTAGGTTCTAACCTGAGATTTTTAGCTGTAGCTGAAATACATGGTATGAACTGACATCCATTAATCCATCCATTCATTGATTTTTGAAAAACCAATGATAAAATATGTAAAATATACTGTGTCCTAGTCAGAGGAAACAAAATATAAAAGCAATAATAACAAATCTCGTTTGCAGTGATTAAAATCATTCTTGAACATATGTAAACTTTCATCTTTTTAATATATACTGTGTACCCAGATTAAAGGGGTTAAATATTTTTAACACAGATTTTGAGTATTTTTCTATTGCAGTGCTTACCACACTATAAAAATTTTATTTGTTTTAGGTCTCTGTGTACTTACAAGCTCTTCAAAGACAGGGACTACAGTGAGTAATGATTATTAGCTGGATCAATAATATATGTTAAATTGATATCAATTAGTTAAATTTAGGATTATAAAAAAAGATTTATCCCAGCACTTTGGGAGGCCGAGGTGGGTGGATCATGAGGTCAGGAGATCGAGACCATTCTGGCTAACACGGTGAAACTCCGTCTATACTAAAAATACAAAAAAATTAGCCGGGCGTAGTGGCGGGCGCCTGTAGTCCCAGCTACTTGCGAGGCTGAGGCGGGAGAATGGCGTGAACCCGGGAGGCGGAGCTTGCAGCGAGCCGAGATGGCCGCACTGCACTCCAGCCTGGGCAACAGAGCGAGACTCTGTCTCAAAAAAAAAAAAAAATCTATCCACTACACATTTTTTTGTTCTTAATACAATCTTCCCACAGAATACACAATCATATTTACCAACTTCTGCAACCATAAATGCTATATTTTAACATTATAGACTTAGTAGGGTTGTTACTTAAACAGAATACACGACAACATCTTCATGTTCTCTAATCTGCAGACATCTTTTCAGGCTTGCAAAATACGTAACTGTTTGGCTCAAAATTTATTACAAATTCAAAAATATTTTAGAATATTGAATATAAATATAGAATATTGAAAAACTATTTTAATATTAAAGAAGACTGGAGAAAACTCTTCCATTAATTTTTTTTTTTTTTTTTTTTTTTTTTTTTTTGAGACGGAGTCTTGCTTTGTCCCCCAGGCTGGAGTGCAGTGGCGCAATCTCGGCTCACTGCAACCTGCGCCTCCCTGGTTCAAGCGATTCTCCTGCCTCAGCCTTCCGAGTAGCTGGGACTACAGGTGCCCGCCATACTAATTTTTTTTGTGTGTTTTTAGTAGAGATGAGGTTTCACCACGTTGGCCAGGATGGTCTCAATCTCCTGACCTCGTGATCTGCCTGCCTTGGCCTCCCAAAGCGCCGGGATTACAGGCATGAGCCACCCCGCGCCCAGCCAACTCCTCCATTAATTTTAATGATGAAATTAAAACTGAACCTATTAGTCATCAAGAATGATGATTAAACCCAAGTATAAAACAGAATATGTGAGTCCATGCTAATATAAATATGTGTTTAGATAAATTAATTAATGAGGGAGTATAGGAAAAACCTCCCATTTAGAAGAATTCCAATTAAATTACTTAGTCAACACTAAAGGAGGGAAAGCATAACTCCTCCCACTTCTTAAGTGTGCACTGGTGTAAGAAACTTCTTCCCAAAGAGTATAGTATGGGAAGGGGGAAGAACAGTGACATCACAGTGGAGTAATCTGACAAGCGCTATTTCATCCAGGAGATCAAGGTCAACATTAATAGTCATAAATTAAAAAAAATTAAAAAGTCATAAATTATATTGGTAGTATGTACCATTGATAAAATGTAAGGAAAATAGCAAATTCCCTCTGTAATATACCTCCCCCAAACACTAGTCTTATCAATAGGAAAAACACCAACAAATCCCAACACAGGGTATGTATTCTATAATATCTGACTAGCATGCCTCAATACTATCAAGGTCATCAAAAACAAAGTCTAAGAAATTGTCATAGCCATGAGAAGCCCAAAGAGTTATGACAACTAAATGTAACATAGTGTCCTGGATGCCACCATGGTATAGGTGGAAGACATTACATAAAAACTAAGGAAATATGAATAAACTATGGATTTCAGTTCATAATAATGCATCAGTATATATTATCTAATTTTAACAAATATGCCATGCTAATGGAAAAATGCTACTAATAGGTGAACCTGTATGCTGGGGTCATATGGGGATTTTCTGTACAATCTCCCCTATTTTTCTGTAAATCTAAATTTTTTCTATTAAAATGTCTATTAATAAAAAGAACTTAACCAAAGAGTTAAATATGAATGTGATTATATGCAAGTCTGAAGGGCATAACAGCATGAGGGCATAGAGAGAATGCAAATTACACAGTCCAGAGGATTTGACAAGAAGTCTTCTTGCTTTGCAATAAGCTGCTTTTGCACACTTAGATAGTCATTTAAGCCTCTTTTCCCTGGTTTGCTATGAAATAAATGAACAGGACTACAAGAGTTCTGAGGCCCCAGTGAGCTCTGTTGTCCATTGATTTACCTGCAAAATGATGTCACCCTCAGAGAGATTACAATCTATTTGAGAAAGTAAACTTGCTAACATTGAAACAAATCAAAACATATTTAGGAACATAGTTCAAGGCTGGGATCATATTCTGTGTAGTTCATATTCTCAGGATTTCAGAGAAACTAAGCAGCATTACGAAATAATTAAGAAATGAGGGAGACTAAAGGACCATTTTGAAAAACTGGAAAATATGCATGAAGAAGTGAAGGACACCTGCATATCCCAAATAATTGGAATCTGACTCTTACATCAAATTCTCCTTTTGCTTCAGTTTTAGGTTTTGAATGGGGTAAAATATTCCTTCAAATCCCTCTGTGCTTTACCATCACATATACACGAAACCCAAGTGCCTTACATGGCGTATCCCACCTTCCTTGACCTTGTCCTTGTTAGTTCTGCAAACACATGTCATGCCACTTGTAAAGTGATCTGCATTAGCACAGTCCTGAGCTGTCTTGAGTCTCCTGTACAGACTGCAGTTTTAAATACCCTTATAGTTTTGAAAATCCTTTTCCTTCCTTCCTCTATAATTCCTTTCCTTATTCATGTGCCTTTCCTGGCATACTTTTTTTTTCAGCTTCAGCTTTTCCAGATATCATCTCATTCAGATTTCTATCAAGAAGACTGATAGAAATGAATTTGAGAAAAATCTGAATGAGATGACATCGTTTAGCTTTTCACATTTCTATGGCAATATGTTTCTCATTGCCTTCAACATGGCAAACACTGGCTACTTTATTCTCTCCATTTGAGGAGAGAGACCATGTCATATTAGTCTTTGCAACTAAATTAATATCTAGCAAATAATGATGGTGATGATGATGATGATAGTGATGATTGACCATGACTTCTCTTATTGGGTGCCTGTTTTGTATCATGTACTGCATTTAGGTGTTGCATTTCAATCAGAATGTCAGAACCTAAGTTTATCTTGTTTTACTTGTCTAACTAATACATAGGTTTATCTAATAAATATTTTTATAGTTTGAGGAAGTTAATTATACAAAGTCTTATTTAAATAATAGAGAAGTAATAGGAGTTTAGGAGGGACAAGGTGAAAGTCGATGAATTAAGATACGCTTCTTTGGTAGAATTATGGATAAATGTCCTAGATAAACTTAGAGATTCCCCCTCTCTATCATGCTTTGATATATCCATAATATATATTTTAAAGTTTTGTGTCTTTCAATTCCGCACGTTATTTGTCATTTCTGGAACCATATCATACAAAAATCAGCAAATAAATATTAAATGAATACCTTTTCCATTTTCTCCCTTGCATTCTTCTCCCTCAAAGATTATGCTTCCATTGACCTTTCATTTCCTATGACCTACAAGTCAGATGCAACTATATCTAGTTTGTATCTCAAATTCCTTTTTAATGGTGACATTTGAGGAGTTAGGTAAGAGAGTTTAGTTGTCCTTAAGTTAATAAAACTCTTTTTTTCTTTGTGCACAAAAGAAAGAAATGTCACTGATAATATTTCTTATATTGATTTCAGAGGGACAATACTTCTTAGCTTAATCCATGGAAAGAAACATATTTGTACAAAGAAAAACATTATATTAGAGATGGGGTTTCGCCATGTTGGCCAGGCTGGTCTCAAACTCCTGACCTCAGGTGATCCACCCGCCTTGGCCTCCCAAAATGCTGGGATTACAGGTGTGAGCCACCATGCCCGGCCTATATTCATATTTCTATTCACAATATCTCCTACACAGTGTTTTCCTGTTCTGTGGCGAGAAATCAGGCAGATAGCAGAAGACACAGGTCAGATCTCAGGAAGAGTTTCTATGGCCTCCAAACAAGCATTTATTGATTATAGATGTAGGGGTGAATATTACGAATATGGGGAGATGTCCCACAAGGTTAGCTCCTATGCTACCTAATGCACCAGGCAGCTTGTCCATAACTTAGTTTAAATATATCTGTCAGGCTCCATGCCCATTTGCTGTAAAAGCAAGATTACTGAGGTAATCTTAGATTTTAAAATGGAAAACTGGGCCTCACAAAAGCAGTTGGGAAAATTACCTGGAGGTTGTTTCTAAGGCAGTGCCCAACTGTACCAAGCAAAGGACAACAAGTACAAAGTCAGAGCTTCATTAACTTGATGATTGATTCATTCACTTACTTAATGCAAGACTTCAGGGGAAGAAGAGTCGCTGAGTGGAGGAGACGGGAAACAATGCATTATGAAACGCCCATGGTCTCTGGATACCCACCCAGCCAATCCCCACCCTCCTAGGGTCTGGTCTCGACCATCTTATCATGTGTTTTGAGGGTGCGTTTTCCTACCAGTTGTTTTTTTTGTCTTTGAGACAGGGTCTCCTCTCGCCCAGGCTGGAGTGCAGTGGTGTGATCTCGGCTCACTATAGCCTCAACCTTCCGGGCTGGGCGATGCTGGTGCCTCAGCCTCCCGACTAGCTGGGACCACAGGCGCGGGCCACCACACTCGGCTAATTTTTGTGTTTTTAGTAGAGAAGGGGTTTCGCCAGGGTGCCCACGCTGTTCTCGAATTACTGGGCTCAAGTGATCTGCCTGCCTCAGCCTCCCAAAGTGCTGGGATTACAGGCATGAGACACCAGCAACACGCCCAGATTCTTCTACACCCTTAATTGGGAGATAAGGCTTCTGCTTGCAGGCCGTGCGTTCTTCCAACCGGCCGCACCTTTGCTGTGGACTAAACAGGAACCACTGGATTAGAGTCCTCTGGCTCTCTGCCCTGCAGGAGATTTTAATCAAAAATTCTAGGCCTAAGGGAAAAGCAGGGTTAGGCTGAAGATGCACACAGGGCTCCCGTAAATTTCTTTTCATAAACCACCCGCCCAGGGCATTAAATAGGGTACTTAGTTGATCCGAACCCTCCAGGGAGACCTCCGACCCTTCTCTTCGTAGCCCCCAGCTCCCCTCCCCCGGTTCCACTGAGGCAAGGGGACTGAGCTGCTCCACATGCCAGGAGTCAGCACGCCGGAAGGCCCCGCCCAGCGGCTGGCGCAGCCAATCGCAGAGCGGGCAAGTGGTGGGGGCGGGCCTGCCTGGGCGGCAAGGGGGCAGGGGGGTCTAGGGGCTTTAGAGGTCAATTAGCTGCTTTCGGGCGGCCTTAGGCGACAGGAGACTCCTGGACCCAGCACCTGCCCACTGTGCCTGTCCACCTGTGGCTACAGCAGCTGAGACCCCAGTGGGCTAAGATTGGACAGGGGCCACCAGGGACCCAGCAAGTCCTTCAGCTCTGTGAGTGAGGGATTTTCCGGAGTGCCAGGCCGCAGTATTCCCAGGGCCGGTGGGGGTGGGACAGGGAGGCTCGACCCCGGCAAATCAGGCAGAGGCGCCCCTTGCTCCCTGCAACATCGCCCACGTCCTGGGGCCACAGTGAGCATGAGCGGAGGGCGGGAGCAAGAGCCAGGAGACCTGGCCTGGGTCCCCAGCCCAAAGCCTGGGAAGCTGCCTACCCACCCCTGTGTGGGCGCGGACACTGGGGACTCTGGCTTCCGGTGGTTCGGCCACCTGATTCAGTTTATGCTCTGTGAGGGGAGCTGGAGTGTTGGCAGGACTGGCCCACCTGCAGGACTGCAGGACTGCGGGAACGGCGGTAGATGGGTGCTCTCCTTCCCAGTTTGTCCTGGGAAGACATTCAATAACTGTTTCATTACAAGGGGCATTTGGAAAACATACTTCACCTTCTGTTGTGTATTAGCCAAGAACAAGGTGTGATGTGACTTCCCAATTATTGGGGATCCCTTTGTCCCTTCTTGAAATTAGATGTCTTCATTCTTGAGGTTTTGCCTGGATGACCTCAGCACAATTGGTACAAAACCTGGGCCAACGGTTTCCTAGTTTCCCGGTTGTTGCCTTAAGCTTCTCGCCCATCAGGTACCTTCCTGTCCTTTTCATAGCCTGTCATCATCATCCCAGAAAACTGTTTCAACTCCTACAGCTCTGGACAGGCTGCTTTTCATTTTGGTGGGTCCCTCCAATACCTCCACTTGCCCTGTTTTTCTCCAGCCACATCCTTGGCCTCTTCCACAGTCCTTAGGTAAATGCTTGGAAGAATAATTTAAATATTTTTATTCTACCATGGTGGCCCTAGTTTCTCAGGGGGTAGTAAAATGGCTTTTTAGGATCGGTCTAATCAGATCCTCATTTCTTTTCCCTTCCTAGATTTTTGAAACATGAATCCTTCACTCCTCCTGGCTGCCTTTTTCCTGGGAATTGCCTCAGCTGCTCTAACACGTGACCACAGTTTAGACGCACAATGGACCAAGTGGAAGGCAAAGCACAAGAGATTATATGACATGGTTGGTGGCATCTGAAACTGTCCAGGGGAACCCCAGAGAGATGGGCATTGCTATTGGGATCATATGGCCAGAGAGTGGCTTCTAGAGGCTGGCTCCTACCAATAACCTAACGCAATAACTTAATAGCACTGATTATGAGCACGATATGGGCATACACCCTTGTTGTGTCTCAGCTTGGAAAACATCTCCTAGAAGTGTCAAGCCTTCCCTGGCCATGGTTACTCTTACATCTCTGTCTGAAGATTCACTTGGTTAGCATATGTTGGGTTTTAATTAGAAATAAATAGCATCGGCGGGGCACGGTGGCTCACGCCTGTGATACCAGCACTTTGGGAGGCCGAGGCAGGCAGATCACAAAGTCAGGAGATTGAGACCATCCTGGCTAACACGGTGAAACCCCGTCTCTACTAAAAAAAAAATACAAAAAGTTAGCATGGTGGCAGGCGCCTGTAGTTCCAGCTACTTGGGAGACTGAGGCAGGAGAATGGCATGAACCCGGGAGGCAGAGCTTGCAGTGAGCTGAGATCGTGCCACTGCACTCCAGCCTGGGCGACAGAGTGAGACTCCGTCTCAAAAAAAAAAAAGAAATGAAGAGCATCAGTTACATGTTTGCCTTTAGAATGGAGAAGGATGGAGGAGAGCAGTGTGAGAGAAGGACGTGAAGATGATTGAGCAGCACAATCAGGAATACAGCCAAGGGAAACACAGCTTCACAATGGCCATGAACGCCTTTGGAGACATGGTAAGTATGCTGTGGGCTGCCCAGCTCTGTGCTTCCCTCCTCCTCAGTTCTTTACCAAATTAATCTCTTGCTTCTTAACATTTTATTTACTTTTCTTTGAAGACCAATGAAGAATTCAGGCAGGTGATGAATGGTTTTCAACACCAGAAGCACAGGAAGGGGAAACAGTTCCAGGAACGCCTGCTTCTTGAGATCCCCACATCTGTGGACTGGAGAGAGAAAGGCTACATGACTCCTATGAAGGATCAGGTGAGACTGTGTTAGGTTCAGACCTCCCATCACCCCAGGAAAGCCAAGAAGCAATTGACATTTGTGCTATGGTAGACTGTGCAGCAACATGCAGTTCACTTTTTAAAGGAGTATTTAGCTACGTGAGCTAAATACTCATGTTGTTAAAAGTCTTGCTGTGTGTGTGTGTGTGTGTGTGTGTGTGTGTGTGGATATCAGCTTTTTTATTCTCTTTTCAGGGTCAGTGTGGCTCTTGTTGGGCTTTTAGTGCAACTGGTGCTCTGGAAGGGCAGATGTTCTGGAAAACAGGCAAACTTATCTCACTGAATGAGCAGAATCTGGTAGACTGCTCTGGGCCTCAAGGCAATGAGGGCTGCAATGGTGGCTTCATGGATAATCCCTTCCGGTATGTTCAGGAGAACGGAGGCCTGGACTCTGAGGCATCCTATCCATATGAAGGAAAGGTAAATGGAGCTCCTTTTCTTGCTGCCATTCCTGCTTGGTTTTACTGGGACACTTTCAGAGATAACAGACACTTTTCAGAATTCACGTTTTAGATGGTGGAATCTCTATCTGCAAAGTGACAGTGTTGTCATTATAAATTATAGCCTTTGCACAGTTCTGTGATTACATGGTTAACATGCAGCTGTTCTTGCTTCTATGTGACACGGAGAATATACAAACCATTCTACATATAATACAGATGTCTCCATTGTGAAAAATGTCTTACGGAAAGTAAACCTAGGGGTCTCGCTGAAGAGAACTGAGCTAATTTTCAGTTTCAAATTAACTATTAATAATAACATTTCACTTCCTTGGATGATTTGTAACAGTGTTGACTTGGAAATTCTATGCTGCAAACTGCTGAGTGTTGTGGTTCTGACTCACATTCCCCAGGAGAAGGATGGTAGTAATCAAGTCGCCTCCCTCTTCACCTTTAAAAGGTTAAAACCTGTAGGTACAATCCCAAGTATTCTGCTGCTAATGACACTGGCTTTGTGGACATCCCTTCACGGGAGAAGGACTTGGCGAAGGCAGTGGCAACTGTGGGGCCCATCTCTGTTGCTGTTGGTGCAAGCCATGTCTCCTTCCAGTTCTATAAAAAAGGTAAGCATCTTTCTTCATAGAAATTATTGCAGAAAAAAAGTAAACCACCATGACACACCAGCATGATGGACTCTGTACACGCAATAATCATACCCAATGCTTCTATTTGATATTACATTGAGCGTATCTCCATGAATACCTGTACTTCATAACTTTTTATAAATAGCTATGTTATTTATAGTATAGTTTAATTTACTTAAATATTGACTAATTGTTGTATTCTTAGAATTTTTCCAAAGATTTTTACTTCTGTGATTAAATCTGAAAAGAGCCTTTTGAGTCAAGGATTTTGGTGTTCTGTGCTATTTTTAAGATTGATATTCTAGAGTAGAATTACAAGCTTAAAATGAATGGTCTTTTATGCCTGTAGGAAAGTTTTTTTATGAGGGACTTATGCTAATTTCTATTTCTGCTAGTTGTGGATGAGAGCCTAATTCCCTAGCCTTGATAACAATAGATCTTGTTAAGCCCTATCTGGACTGTGTGTCATTTCACTGATTTTAGAGATGCCTCCCTCCCTGTGGGAGACAGGGTGGGTTACTGTCAGGTGTCCTTGGGAACTTCTCACCCAGCCTTCATTTTATTCTCTCAGGAATTTATTTTGAGCCACGCTGTGACCCTGAAGGCCTGGATCATGCTATGCTGGTAGTTGGCTACAGCTATGAAGGAGCAGACTCAGATAACAATAAATATTGGCTGGTGAAGAACAGGTATAAATTGCCAGAAAGACTTATAGTTGAAATTCAAAAGGGAATCCTTTTTTGCAATCAGTATTTACATACCACAAGCCCTTAATCACATTTCTGAAATCCCAGAAGTCTTTTTCACCCTTAGGCAGAACACAGAATATTAATGATTGATTGTAACGTCAAGATACTGTCACAAGCATGCTGGGGATATTAATATGGTATTTGTCCCATTGCATGTCTAAATTCTGAACATTTTCTTAATTCTGAAGCATATCAGCTGGAAAGACATCCTATCCTTTTTCTGTTTCTGATTTTGCAGTTCTGTGAAAGGTCACAGTTTTGGGTCTGGGATTGAAGCGATATGCAGGTTTTGACTCAAGAATTTACAAGGGATGAACAGGAACATCAGCATCTCCTGATTCTTTATGTTAAGCCTGTGGCTTCTGGCACACTGTGGCTTCTGGCACACTGTTTAAGTTAATAACCCAGTGTGCTTTATCCTTCCTCTGAAATGGAAAACCTGCTCTCCTTTCAGCTGGGGTAAAAACTGGGGCATGGATGGCTACATAAAGATGGCCAAAGACCGGAGGAACAGCTGTGGAATTGCCACAGCAGCCAGCTACCCCACTGTGTGAGCTGATGGTTGGTGATGAGGAAGAACTTGACTGAGGATGGCACATCCAAAGGAGGAATTTATCTTCAATCTACCAGCCCCTGCTGTGTGGAATGCACACTTCAATCATTGAAGATCCAAGTGTGATTGGAATTCTGATATTTTCACACTGGTAAATGTTACCTGTATTTTAATTACTGCTATAAACATGTTTGTATTATTGATTCACTTACTTTGTATTTTCATTTTAAAAGGATATATACAATTTTACCTGTTTAAATAAACTGTAATTTCAAATGTACTCGTGGGGCTTCTTTCTGTTTTGATGCACTGACTTTTTTGTGTAGTTGTATTAGTCTGTTTTCACGCTGCTGATAAAGACATATCCAAGACTGGGCAATTTATAAAAGAAAGAGATTTAATGGACTCACAGTTCCACGTGGTTGGGGAGGCCTCACAATCATGACAGAAGGTGAAAGGCATGTCTCACATGGCAGCAGAAAAGAGAAGACAATGAGAGTCAAGCGAAAGGGGTTTCCCTTATAAAACCATCAGATCTCGTGAGACTTATTCACTATTATGAGAACAGCATGGGAAAGACCTGCCCCCATGATTCAATTACCTCCCATCAGGTTCCTCCCACAACATGTGGGAATTGTGGGAGTTAAAATTCAAGATGAGATTTGGGTGGAACACAGCCAAACCATATCAGTAGTCAAGCATGAAACTGGGCTCTAAGCCATACCTGCCCTACCAGTGGTTCACTAGGAGGAACAGTGGGTGGCCTTCTGGCTCTTCTAGTAACAAATGTGCAGATCTCATGTCAGCTGCCCAGTGGTTGTGTCTGACTCAATTCTTGATTGAAGCAAAATATGACAAACGATCTATAAGGACAAAGGAAAATTGTTTTAATAAAGAAAAAATTCACATTTTTCTTTAAAGTGATCAGACATACATGTAATTTCAATACTGAAAAAGAGCCTTAGAGATCATGTTTATCTCACCCACAATGTTTGCAACCCAGCCAAGTTACAGGGCAAAGCTATCAGGGCCAGTTTCTGGAGCATCTTCCCCAGCTGCTGGTGAAGACCCCATGGCCACTTTGCAGTTGAGGTGAGACAAGGCACTAGTGCGTTGGCAAGGCTGTTTGTCTTTGGGTCCTCAAGGGATGAGGGATAAACTCCAGGGTGTGAGGCTGGGCTTCAGGAATGGTGTGCTGGCCTTGGAAGGTGGAAGACAGATAAGAGGACCCAAACTGAGAGTCTGTGGCCACATTCACACCAAGCTACCTGTAAGCACCTGAATTATTTTAACCAATAGAAAAACTTCCCACATTGTATTGGCTAAAAGAGCACATAGTCTCATCATCTGTGTTTTTTCAAAAGCCTCATGTTCCCACTGAAAAAAAATATAAAAGATAGTTAGAAGTGTTTAGTGAATAGACTCCATAATCTTTCAGGAAGAAAACTAGGAGGACAATGGGGTCTCATCCCACAAAGCCTCCAGCAGGCTCCATTTAAGTTCATCTGAACTGGATCATGTGCCACGCTGGACTCTTATGTGCCCTTCCCTAGTCGTTGCTAAAACCATCTTTTTGACATAAAATGACAAAAATGGCAACTGTGAAATTTTATAATAAAAGTAGCCCATGTTAGCAAGAAGATTGGGAAGATTCCCAAGGTAAATCCCTTAACTGTGCAGGTTGGGTCCTAGATTTGATACAGTTAGAATTTATGCAGCACCCAACATATGCAGGTTATCACCATGGTGGAAGAGACAGGCCCTTACCTCAAGGAGCTGGAACTGTTAGGGAAAGGGAGGTAATGAGGGAGGGTTTCCGGGAGGAAGGGAAAGACAATATCAACCAGAGCAGCCAGTCACTAAGGGAAGGTGAAGAGGTGAGCATCTTAGCAGAGACTAGCATGTCAGTAACCCTGAGAAATGACTGCAGTGAGAGACCCTGCAGAGTGATTAGGTCCAGGTGTTGGGTGATGAAGCTTGCTAAGCAGAGTGTTTGAACATAGGGGACCACTGGAGAGTGCAGGAACAGACCATTCTGGTTCTCCTCTATTACTGTAAAACAAACCACCCAGAAACTCAGTGGCTTGGTAGAAACATCTTTCACATTTTCCGCCTGGACTTGGCTGTGTGGTTTCGCGGGGAGACATCTGTAGGCTCTATCTGTGCTGGAGACATCTGTAGGGCTTGACGGGACTAGACATCTGCAGGGCTTGACGAGACTAGACATCTGCAAAGCCTCACGCACAGGGCTGGTTGCAGATGCTGGTGTTGGCTGGGCATTTAGCTTGGGCTGTTGACCAGAGCACCTGCCTGGGGCCTCTCCATGGCTTGGGCTTCTCACAGCATCAACGTTGGGAAAAATATATACATATACCTTGGCAAACTTTAAACACTGAATTGCACAGGTGTTTATGTTCATCTTTATTATTAAATAAATTAACAAAAAAAGTATTATGAGGAGATTTGGTCTCTTTCTCCAGTAATACAGTTTTAAAATCTCATAATTAACATAATTAAAGTTTTTTATACTTATACTTTCAGTAAGTATTTATTAGTCATTTTTATTTATTTATTTACTTTTTTTGAGATGAGGTTTGGCTCTTGGTGCCCAGGCTGGTGTGCAATGGCACGATCCCAGCTCACTGCAACCTCTGCCTTCTGGGTTCAAATGATTCTCCTGCCTCAGCCTCCCGAGTAACTGGGATTACAGGCATGTGCCACCATGCCCAGCTAATTTTGTATTTTTAGTAGAGATGGGGTTTCTCCATGTTGGTCAGGCTGGTCTTGAACTCCCAACCTCAGGTGATCCACCCGCCTTGGTTATATTCTAACCTAATTAAAATCTTTTTAAAAGCAGGACAAAAAATTCATCGTTTTGTAAGATTATAGCTACGTTAAAATATGTCTAGAAAATACAGCCAGAGGAAATAAAAACTTTCATTGCCTCAAATTTCCGCAAAGCCAAGGGGCACCACCCATTGCCAGGGAGGGTGAGCCCTGGAAGCACAGAGGTTGCTGACTCCCAGCCCAGCAGCAGCTGGACACTCAGCCCCCAGTGCCTGGTTTCTCCTTGCACGTGAATCCAGGTCCCAGCATCTTGTCATTGACAGGAACAGCCCTGGCTCACCCTCTTGGAAAACAGAAAGATGCTCATGGAGGCTGGCTGTGAGGCAACCTGAGGGCTCTGAAGACCTCCTGTGGGGCTCACACTGGGGCCAGAGCCTCAGCCTCTGACACCCAAGAATGGAGTAGGCAGGATGGGTGGGGCAGAGAAGAAGAAAGTTCTCCGGATGTCCTGGTTAGTCACCCTGACCCTGGGAAATGCACACTCACGGCTGAATCAGGGAGAATCAAGTCTCTTGGCCAGAAAAACAAGCCATTATGGCCAGCGAAGCGCTCACTAAGCACACACAAATACACATATATGTGCACCCACAAACACATAGAATTACACACATGCTCAATACACACATAGGTACATGCACACTAACTCATTACACATATGAGCATGTATGCACACAACACACCTATACACATACACTTATGTACAGATGCCCAAATACACACATACTCACACCCTTACACAATACGCATGTATATACATGTAGTCCTGACACACATTCACACACATGTGCACACACACCTACATACACACCACAGTATAATACACTTAGTAGAGTAGTATCCGGGGGCCTCAGTTGTGGTCAGATGGCCTGACAGTCTGAATTGTTAATCATTGAACTGTGTGATTTTGTCTAAATCTTTTCATCTCTGCTTCCAGCCCCCAAAAGAGTGCGGTTGACTCAAATCATCTGGAAGTTCTCTTTAGTTGTAAAATTCTGTGATTTCAATGGGAAAAGATGGTATCATCCACCCAGAGCTCACCTGAGCTCCTTCTCTGTACCCTGAGGAGGATCCTGGGGGCTGGAGTCACAGCATAGGGTGCTTTGGAGGCCATCCTCACCCAGCGCCAGCCCCAAGAGTGTTGCCACCAGGGATAGCCCAGCATCTCCACAGACCTCTGCTGTGGGCATTCCTGTGACTTCTTCCCTGCCCCTCCTCCCCATGCCTACGCACTTCTTCCCTCCTTTCTGATCAAGAATATGCCTTGGGAGCAAGTAGGCAGGAAACAGCAATCTTCTGAGGCCCAGCGCTTCCAGAAAGAGGTCGGCAGCTGTCTGTCCTGGGGACGTTTCCTGGTGGAGGTGGAAGGGGGCTCACTGCTCCTTAACACGCTCTTTCAACAGTGCCTCCCTGGTTTTCTCTTTCTGGCCAGGGCATTCATTTGGAGCAGACAAGCCTGTTCCCTGTCCCAACTCAACATCTGGAAGTTGCTGGGTCATGGGCTCCAGGTGTTGTTTGGAGCCTCTCATCAGCATGTGACTTTTGGTTGTGATGATAAAGTCTGACCGCACCTCAGGTTGTCACCCAAAGCTCAGCTACAATCTCTACAAATTACCCCTGAAAGCAAATTTCTCAGGCAGCTGTGGAGCTCAGCCCGTGGCCTGGTAGGTGAGCCAGGATGTGGCCCTCACTGGGCATTTCATACCTGTGGCCAGCACGGGGCTGGCACCATAGTGGTACCCAACAGCCCCTTGTTGGAAGAATGAATTTGAGCACCCCACTCCTCATGAACAGCTTGGCCTGATTAAGTTCTCAAGAATCCAAAGGCCTGCAAACACTATGACATCCTCCCATATATGAATTCAAACTGAACAAAAACCCTGAAAACTAAAAAAAAAAAAAAAAGGAAAAAAAAGAAAATGAGCCAAGGAACAATCACTTCTTCCCATTAGGAAGACCACTTTGTACTTTGTAGGTGGTTATTTTGGAAATAACAATCTTTCACTTTTCTTATCCCCCATTTCTCTAGGGGCCTCTGCTTTGCTGGGCTGCTCTAAATACAATGGGTAGTCCTGTACTTCACTCTGCCACATTTATTGTTACCTGGACATTTTTAGGTGCCAGCTTTATCTTTTTATTTTTATTTTCAAAATGTGGTAAAACATAAATAACATAAGATTGATCATTTTAACCATCTTGAACTGCACAGATTGGTGGCATTAAATACATTCACATTTTTATGCAACCAACACCACCATCCATCCATGAATACTTTCATCCTGCAAAACAGAAACCATCTTTTTACTCCCCTAGCAACCATGCCCTCCTCTCTAGCTTATATTTATTTTATGCTACATAGAATATCCTAGAAGCAGAGAACTTGAGCAGTGGAGGGCACCTGGTAAGGTTATCTCTTCCAAACACCTGCCCTTCAGCAAAACCACACGTGGGGTAGACTGAGCCAGGCAGAATCAACCTTGTTTTTAAATGTACAAAACTAGGCCTTCTTTGGAAGTCACGTATTTGAAATATCAAGTCAGAAAATTCTTTTTCTAAAGTAAAAATTTTCTTTGTCATTTCCTCAGTTACTCTTTTTCTTTTTCAGATTGAAAATAACCAGTTACTGTCCTCAGGGAATCAACAATTTCATGAGCAGTGACTTCCTGGGAGGCCGTGGTTCTCAAACGTTAGCCGGCCTCAGTGTCAGCTGGAGGGGTTATGAAAGCACAGATCGCTGCACCTAACCCCAGAGTTTTAGATCCCAGGGGTCCAAGGAGGACTCCAGAAGTTGCATTTCCAGCAAATTCCCATGTGATGCTGATGCTGTTGGACTGGGGATCCCATTTTAAGAAATGCTGCTATAAGGCCCAGTGCTAGGAAATCTGAAGGATAGAAATATGCAGGTACCTAAGAGGTGGGAACAAATGGAATTAACAAGGTAAATGGGTTAAACTTCACATGGAAAGTGCCAAACGCCCTTCACATAAGCCCTTTGCTGTCATAGAGCTCACAAGCTCAGGGTGCGGTGCAGGAGGCTGACGTGAACAGTAGTTTGGGATGTCAGTCATTCACACCGGGAACTGTGTGGACACTGCAGGGGAGCACAGCGCTCAGGCTGGGTGAGGAAGGGGCCGGGGATGGCTTCCTGCAGACCTGGAAGCATCAGGAGCCATTCCTGGGTGGATTCTTAAAGAAAAGAAGGTGTCCAGACAAAGGGGCCAGGCGAGGCACATGCTCTTCCAGCAGAGGAACAACGTGGAACTGAAAAGGGGACATGGAGCATTCACGGGGCAGCAAGCTATGCAAGTGTCCCCAAGCAGAGAGTGGAATTGAGGCAGTGAGGACAGAGTCCAGAGGCGGGCAGGGCGAGACCCAGAAGGCATGGTAACACAGGAGGAGGAGCCCAGGCGATATTCTGAAGGCTCCTTTGACATCGAGGACAGAGAAAGCTTTGCTAAGACTCCATATAAGGGGGCATCAGAGAGGAAAGGAGAATCAGGAACACAGCTCTCTCCAGTCCTCTAGGTCCTCCACTATAGGATAGCCTAGGTGCAGACAAAATTTCCTTTCCTTTTTGTTTTGTTGGAAGATTTTGGAATTGCATGGAGGAAAACTTGTAAAGACACTGGGCAAGCCTAGAACCAAAATGCACACAAAGAGGATACAGAAGGTGGGTCTGGAGGTGAACAGAGGAGGCTTCCAACTCCATCTTGTCTTGTGCCGCAGTCTCTGTATTTAAATAGAGAACTAATTCCCTCCCAAGACCCACAGGACCTCACAGGGGCTGGCCTCCCTGCTGTTTTCAGCCTGAGCTCACAGGCGCTGGCCCTCACTCTTCCTGCTCCCTCTCCATAAGCCTCTTTCAAACTGGGTTTGCCAGGCTGTCTTCTGCCCCAACCCTTTCCCCAGGTGTTTTCCTCCATCTGGAGTAGTCTTGCCCTCACCTGACTAATTAACTACATTTAATCTAAGACCCACTCCCTCAGGGCAATCTGATCTACCTGCATAGGTTCAATCTCTACTCTTAGAGGGTTTTAAGCATTGGGTACTTTTACTTGATAGCACTTAGTGGTTGTTATTTGTGTAATTAGTTGTTGAATGTCTCTTCTACTAGAACAGGGGTCAGCAAACCATAGCCAGCTTTGGTCTGAAGCCTGATTTTGTAAATAAAATGTTAATGGAGGAGATCAGGTGCCTACAGGGTCATATTGCTGGAGATGTGGAGTGACCGATCAAGATCAACATATTTTGGTTCATTTGGATGATCGACTTAACAGAGAGCTTCCATATTTTTATCTATTTAACATTTCTTTGGTGCCAGGGCATGACATTTTCTTTGTTATAGAGAAATATTAAAGAAAAAAGAATGCACAGGGAGTTAATATGAAATATTGTGTTCTCACCAAGTGAAGGCCAAAAGGCTTCATTACAGGATGTGCAAAGGAAGCCTCTGTGTAACTTACATAGGGACAAGTGGTGGAAGCAGCCAGTTACTGCAAAGCACACCGCCAACAGGCGGGTCTCAGGAGAGTCTGCATGTGGACAGGGGGCGCCACTTCCTCACAGCGGAGGGGAGTGACTGTTCTGCCTTTGTTCCATTATATTAATATTGTCATTTGAATTTTATGAGGTCTCTGCATTTGTTGATCTGCAAGTTTCTTTAGGTTTTATGGTTGCAAGGTATCTATATGCCTACATTCTTTATATCTAGTTTTAAGGTTACATATAATTAATATATATAATATTTAATTAAAAATTAAAATATGTAAGATATATATTATAAAATATATAGACACATGAGCAGAGGCAGAGCAAAAAGAATAAGGTTTTAATTTACAATCAGGAGAGAGAAGAGCCCATCAAAGTAAACAGGCAAGGGGAAGAGGGGCACCTGGAAATAGCGGTGGGCATCCTGCCAGTTCAAAGAATAGAGACCTGGCTGGGGGCTTTGGTCAGCCAGATGAACAGTCAAGCGGGGGAGGGCACAGCTGATGATGACACATGCTGGCTTCTTCTTCTGTCCACAGGGGAGTGCCTCAAATACACTGTGGTTCTGATTGGGCTCATCAGCCCCACATCCTCCTCCAACACACACACACACACACACACACACACACACACACACACACACACACACTTTGAGGTTTGGGGCCTCTGGCTTTTATAAGGAGAGAGCAGCTTAAATTTAACTTCAATGGACTGAGCCCCTTCCTCCAGGAGCAATGTCCATTCATGGGGACCATATGTGGAGGGAGACTTGCTTCTTATTTGTTCCCCATCATACCACCTGTGTGTACCAGGTGGGCCTTGGGTGTTCTTTCTGAATGGGGACCCTAACTGTGTTCAGTTGCAGCAGTTGTGGTGCCATCCCCCATCGCACAATCTGTTCTGGAGGAGGATGTTGCAGAGGCGCTGCTCCATAAACTGGAGGTGCCTGGAGGAGCCGCGATGGGAAGGCTTGGAAAAACAGGGGCACTGGGGACAGAGGCTTTTCATTGCTGCCCATCAGGGGGCCCCAAGTGTGGGCTGAGGGGTGGGCCTGGAGAATATGAATGTAGCCAGGCAGACGTAAGCTGATGTCTTTCCAAGGTGCCTCTACTGTGCACTGAATTTGGGAAATTAAGAGGGTGCTCACTCTGGAGCTTGGTGAAGATTTGAAAACCACAGTGTTAGTAGTGGTAGTCATGTCCGTAGCAAAGAGCTGAGGGCTCAAGGAGGCTGCAAGTTCAGGTGGGCAGATGCCCTTGCTGTGATGGTGGAAATGGCTGCTGTGGAATTCATCTGCTGATGAGTGATAGCAGGGATCCCGGTGGAAGGTGCTGGAAGAGGAGTTGGGGAGGAAAGAGGAGGAGAGGAAAACACACATATGGGTGTAGGAGGCTCCCTTCTGAAGGGAAGCTGGAAGGAGAAAGATGCGGGGCTAGGAGGTATGGGGCAGGGGTGAGAGGTCAGAGGTGCTGAAGCTGCAGCTGAATGAGGGCAGCCTCCTTTCTCATTAGGTGGAACCCCCAAAATGGGGGCAAGGTCAGCAGGAGGACCCAGGGGAGAGTTAGGAATTATGGATATCAATTTTTACTCAATTCTTGGTGTGGGCAAAGGTGGAGGGACAGGCAGGGTGAGGGGCCCAGCAGCCATGTGGGCCAAGTCACAGGTAGGAGGAGGAGCTGGGATCTGTGAAGTGTAGGTGGCCTGGGCAGGGAGTCTCAGCAGGTGTGGAGACAGCAGGGGCAGGCTGGGTGGCACTGCAGTTTGCCATGTCTTCTTCTTTTTTGAGGCGGAATCTCATTCTGTCGCCAGGCTGGAGTGCAGTGGTGCAATCTCCACTCACTGCAACGTCCACCTCCCGAGTTCAAGCCATTGTCCTGCCTCAGCCTCCTGAGTAGCTGGGACTACAGGCACGAGCCACCATGCCCAGCTAATTTTTGTATTTTCAGTAAAGACGGGGTTTCACCGTGTTGGCCAGGATGGTCTCGATCTCTCGACCTCGTGATCCGCCCGCCTCAGCTTCCCAAAGTGCTCAGATTACGGGTGTGAGCCACCATGCCTGCCCTGCCATGTCTTCTTTATCTTCCCAAGCAGCTGTTTTAGTCTCCTGGATTCTGATGTTCTACTGGTGTTCTTCTTATCCATGTTGCCCAGGAATCCCTCAGGAGATAGGCAGGGAAGCTTAGCAGGTGGGGGCAGGTCATCTCTATTCCACCTCTATTGCCGGGGAGGGGTTGGTGGCAGCAGCAGTGGTGGTCCTGACAGTTTTCTTTCGCTGGACCCGTGGCCGGCAGCTCTGGGTGGAGTATAGCTACTTGATGCAAGAGCTTCAGGATCCTTGGGCTGCATCTCCTTCCCCCGCATTAGCAAGCCTGGAGAGCTGGGCAGGTGGTCTTTACCCAACACCTTCAAGGCCACCTTCTCTGGCCACAGGGAGCAGCCCAGAACTGGGAAAGGGATTATTATCCTTAATATTATCCATAATATTCCAAAAGTTCTCAAAAATTGGTAAGAAAAGGCACAACATCCCAATGGGAAAGTGGCACCACACACTCTGGACTGTTTCCGCTGCTCAGTGGCCTGAGTATAAGTGCAGCCAGTGCTTATCTGCCTCTCCTCTCCCCTGCCTGTGATGCCCCCTCAGAAGGTGTCTCCCCATTTTTTCTGTCAGTGCTTCACTGATAGAAAAATGCCGCACTTCCCACGCAAGGCTCTAGTTCCAGACATGCTTCCAGAATTCTCGGGAAACCCCCTCCTCTCCCCTGAAAACCCCGCCCTTGCACATTAGATATCGTGGTTTTCCTGTTGGGGTCCCATTATGGCATCATCAGCAGATGGGGCACAGTCTCCTGAGGCCTGGGAGGAATCTGTCCCAGAAACCAGGGTGTGGGGACTTCTGACTAAATCAAGGGAAGGTTTTCATGGAGAAAGTCAACAAAAAGTGAACATTCTAATTTCAAAAATAGTCTCCTCATTGCACTTCAAATTAAGGGACTTGGAAAAAGGGGAGCAGGGAGCTGGGTGTTTAATGGGTTCAGAGTCTGATATTGGGATGATGAGAAAGTTCTTGAGATGAATTGGCGGTGATGGTGAGAAAACAATGTGAATAAACTTAACGCCAATAAACTCTGTACTCAAAAATGATGAAAATGGTAGTTTCTGTTAAATCTGTTTTACCTCAATAAAAAGTAAATAAAGTTTTGTTCCCAGTGGGCAGGTAAGTAGGGGAAACTCTCTTGCCACCTCTTGGCAAGATCCTGAGAAACAGTTGGGCTCCCCAGCAGTGTGAGCTCTTCTGAGGGCAGTGGTGACAGCCCGAGAGACAGTTGAGTGTAGCAAGGGCAGGTGCAGGTCCCTGGTCCCAGAATGTGAGGGTGGCTAGCCAGCCTCGACTTCTGCCTGCCTAGGAGGCATCCTAGGAGGTGAGCCTGAGTGAGCAGGGGTGAGCTCTGTGTGTCCTGTGTGCAGCAGCAGATTATCTGTCTGCCCGTGCAGAGAGGGGAGAAAGCCATGATGATGGGACCTGGTTTGGCTGAGAATCCCCAAAGGCCCAGGAGCTCCTTAACCTTACATTAAAACACAAAAGAGAGCTCAGCAGAGGCCACCACACCCAGCTAATTTTTGTATGTTTAGTAAAGACAGGGTTTCACCATGTTGGCCAGACTGGTCCTGAACTCCTGACCTCAGGTGATCCACCTGCCTCCGCCTCCCAAAGTGCTGGGATTACAAGCATGAGCCACCATGCCCAGCCTTCATTACCCTTTATTACTCATTTTTTTATTATTGTTTGTCTCTGCCTATCAACCACTGTGCTCATCACTCACCTGACAAATATCACATCTTGAGTAGATACTTGTAGAATGAATGAATATGATTTCGCTTCAAGACCTAAGGAGTGGAGGCAATGGTGGACTACTAGAACAGGTGTCTCTAAGTGTGTTTGTATAAGACATTCTAGACCTCTAGAATGTCTCTTCTACTAGAACTCAGCCTTGATGACCTTACGCCCAGTGATGGAGAGCATTCATGAAGCATTTAAGGAGGCTGGCCTGCAGGGAAGCAGTCTTGGACAAGTTCAACCTGCCCCCAGGCCACTTCAACAATCAAAATTTTTATCACTCCTCCTTGCTTCCTTTACTCCTTCTAAAAGCACAGAGTTTTTCATGGGGTTGCACATCGTTCATTTTACAAACACTATTAACATCATTTCATTAAAAATGACATCCTAACCCCAATTAACTAAGAAGTACATAATGCAGAATAAGTAGCAGTTTGCCCTTAGACCATTAGCAACATTCAGGGACATATACATTTTCCTCAATTTCTTCATTGTGCTATTGGGCAGTGAAGAGTTGGTGTTTTAGAACTCCTCAGATATTTGGTGTGTTATCAGGGGCATTGCTGAAAGCAGGAATCTTAGCGGCTGGGAGTCACCGTGTGGGCAGAGGAGGAGAGGAGACAGAGACTGTGTGGAGAGGTGGGGCTCTGTGCTGTCAGTGAGGGCTGTTCTCTGCCCCCATCTCTTCCAGTCCCTTTTTATCTCTGCCATCCCAGGAATGATGGAAGTGCCTGAGGAAGACTACCTGGGCTTCCTGATGAGTTACTGGCAGACTGCCTCTGTGGGACAAGAGGGTCACCTGCAAGCCAGACAGTCCAAATCCTCCCTGAAACACACCACTCTCCACTCACTGCTTACCAATTCCCTTCAAGGCTGCTCCAGCTGCACATTTTTAAAAGTTGTTCTATTCAATGAGAAGACATAGACACAGGGAGGGGAACATCACACACCGGGGCCTGTCAGGGGGTCAGGGGGTCAGGGGGTCAGGGTCAAGGGGAGGGAGAGCATTAGGACAAATACCTAATGCAGGCAGGGCTTAAAACCTAGATGATGGGTTGATAGGTGCAACAAACCACCATGGCCCATGTATACCTATGTAATGAAACTGTACATTCTGCACATGTATCCTGGAACTTTAAAATAAAATAAAAACTTTTTAAAAAGTTGTTCTATTAAGATATGGTCTGTGGTTTGGGAAAATGGTGACTCCTTGTCCTGTTCTTAGAGAAATATTTCATTTTGTAGGGATGACTGGCCTGGGGGCCCAAAATCTCACTGTCAGTCTGCTCTGGTTCTTCAGCAAATGCTTTGAATCAGGGTTGATGGTGGCAAAAATTGGTAGTCAATACCTTCAGCATCATGGTCCTTCCCTTGCATCACTGGCCAAGCTTCACTCTGGTGAATTCCACATATAAGGCTTGCCCAGCCCTGTCTCATTCTCTTGGATGAGCCACAGCCATGCTACCCACCAGGACCAGGCACTTCCTCTGCACACTCTGTGGATAGCAGTCATTTCCCTGAATCCATGAAAGCATCATCCGCTTAAACCACTATTTCTTAGTGTTGTTTTTTGCAACTTTGAATTCCATAATTTCTGTTTCATTCTCTGTATAAATTGGAGAATACTTGTGAAAATTCCTTATCTCACAGTCCATTTTCTGTAACATTAGTCTTAGCCCTTTTAAAATCCTGGGCCTTTCTCTCTTTAAGTTTTTCTGGGATTGAGGCCAGTGGGATGGCAAAGCTGCTGTCACTGAGGTATGGCCTGGAGAGTCCTTGGGTGTCTGGGGGAGAAGGCAGGGCCACCAGCATGGGAGCCAGGAATAGGGGACGACTCCAGGGGATGAAGCCCAAGGAAGAGTCAGCATGTCAGGTGCAGATCAGTGCAGGATGAGGCCCTGAAGTGTGGGTGACCAGCCACTCACAGGGGGAATGAGGCTCTTTGGCCCTATTTCTCATGGGGCTGGTATGTGGGGCCCCAGGTGTCCCTGTGCTCAGAGCCTCAGCTTGCAGGGAGACCCTGTCAGCCCCTCCATGGGAGTTGGGAGTTAAAGGGGGCCATGAGCAGCTCTCCTGGGGGAAGTTCCTTGTCCTGGGATGGGGGCATCCATCCCTCAGGCCCCACCTGTCCTTTTGGGCTCCAAGCGCAGAAAGTTGCAATCTCGGTCTTCACATGGAGACCAAATGTGTCCCAAGCCAGGCTGCAGCACACACATGAGGGCTTAGGTAAACAGGCCAAAGCCCACTGCTCCCCCTGACAAGGGCAAATGTAACAGAAAACGAAGTGGACAGACTTCAGAGAATGTCAGGGAGCTGCCCCAGAGGTGGAAGCCAGGAACGCGGGACAGCTGGTGCCTGACTGAGGGTGCCCATCACCACAGCCCACGTCCTCATGCATTTCCACAGGGTAAGTCTGGCTCCAGCATTTACTCTGGAATAATAGGGCCCCACAGCACTGACGATCGTGACCACCTGTCTGCCAGAGAGATGCGAGAGAGACTGAGGAGAAGAGTGCCCTGTGTGATGCTCCCTGGGCCAACTGAGAGGAAAGGACCTTTCGGGCACGCAGGCCCCAGACTCAGCATTTATATCTGGCTCATGAGCCCAATGACTCTGGGCAGCAGAGTAGCACATGGTGGACGCATGCTCTATATTGAGTTAGGCAGGCCAGGAGCTGACTGCTGACAATTGGCCTGGCCACGTTCTTGCACTTCACTGTACAAGAGTCTCAGGGTGGAGTGAAGTGAGCTCTGAGACCACACCACAGAAAATTCATTGCTGGGAAGACCAAGCATGCCCAGGACAGCTATATAGAATGTGGTTGTTGGGTCCCTCACACCATCTAAAGCAGAGGCTCTTAAATAGCTGGGGTTAGGACCCTCCCAAATCTTCACTGAAATTTCCAAGCCCATCACAGACTCCAAATTTTGCTAGATTGCCTGAGGGTCCATGGACTCCTGGACAAGAACACCCTGTACTGGTCAGCAAAGTTGCCATGTCAGAGCCAAGAGGTCAGGAATTCAAAACCAGCCTAGCCAAGATGGTGAAACCCCGTCTCTACTAAAAATACAAAAATTAGCCAGGCGTGGTGGCAGGTGCCTGTAATCCCAGTTACTCAGGAGGCTGAGGCAGGAGAATCACTTGAACCTGGGAGGCAGAGGTTGCAGTGAGCCAAGATTGCACCACTGCACTGCAGCGTGGGTGACAGAGTGAGACTCTATCTCAAAGAAAAAAAAGATTATACATCATGACCAAGTTGGATTTATACTTGGAATGCAAGGATGAGTGAAGATACAAAAATCAATCAAGTCATACACTACATTAATATAATGAAAGACAGAAACCACATGATTCAGACAAAGCATTCAACAAAATTCAACACCATTTCATCATTAAAAACACTCAACAAACTAGGAATAAAAGGAAAATACTACCACATAATAAAGGCCTTACATGAAATGCCCACAACTAACATTATGTTTACTAGTGGAAGACAAAGCTATTCCTCAAAGTACAGGAGAAAGTCAAGGATGCCCACTCTTGCCACTTCTATTCAACATAGTACTGGGCCAGAGCAATTAGACAAGGAAAAGATATATAAAAGGCATTCCAGTTGGAAAGGAAGAAGTAAAATTATTTCTATTTACAGATTATATGGTTTTATATGTAGAAAACCCTAAAAATTCCACCAAAAACCTGTAAGAACTAATAAATGATTTCCGCAAAGTTACAAAATGCAAAATTAACACACAAAAATCCATTGCAGTTCCATACATTAGCAATGACCAATATGGAAAGGAAATTAAGAAGAAAATTTCAGACCAGGTGCGGCGGCTTACACTTATAATCCCAACATGTTGGGAGGCTGAGGCAGGCGGATCACTTGAGGCCAGGAGTTTGAGACCAGCCTGGCCAACATAGTGAAATCCTGTCTCTACTACAAAAACAAACAAATAAACAAACAAACAAACAAAAACAAAAAACCCACAATTTTATTTATAATAGCATGAAAAAGAACAAAATACTTAGAAATAAACTTAACCAAGTAGGCAAACAACTTGGACACTAAAAATTACAAAACAACAATGCTACAAGAAACCAAAGAGTATATAAATAAATGAAAAGACATCTCCATGCATGTGGATTTGAAGACTTAATATTGTTAAAATGTCCATATTACCTAAAACAATTTACAAATTCCATACAATCCCTATTACAGCATTATTCACAGTAGCCAAGAGATCCAATCCAAATATCCATTGGTGGATGAAAGGATAAAATATGGTATATACATACAATGGAAGACTAAGCAGCCTACGGAAAGAAGGAAATCATGTCACATGCTAGAACATGGATCAATCTCAAGAACATTATGCTAAGTGAAATAAGCCAATCACAAAAGGACAAATACTTTTCTTCATATGAAGTATTTAAGGTAGTCGAAATCACAGAAACATAAAGTAGTGATTGCCAAGGGCCGGGGGTGGGAGTAGGGGGGAAATTAGTATTTAATGTGTACAAAATTTCAGTTGTGAAAGATAAAAAATTTCTAAAGATCTAAATTTCACAATGATGTGAATATACATAACATTACTAAATTGCACAATTTAAAATGTTTAAGATGGTTTTTAAAAAAGGAAAAAGCATAGGAATAAATTTCATGACCTAAGACTAGTTAATGGTTTCTTAAACATGACATCAAAACCATAAGTAACAAACGAGAAAATAGATAAATTGGACTTCATCCAAAGTAAAAACTTTTGTGCTTCAAAGAGTACCATCAAGAAAGTAAAGGACAACCCATAGAATGGGAGAATATTTCTGCAAATTATATCTTGTAAAGCATTTTTATCTGGAACATATAAAGAATTATTATAACTCAATGACAAAACACAAACCAGTTAAAAATTACTAAATGTTGAGTACACACTGCTCCAAAGAAGATATACAAGTGGCGAATAGGTACATGAAAGAGGTTCAACATCAGGGAAACACAAATGCAAACTACGATGAGATGCAACTTCAGAACCACTAGGATGACTTTATCAAAAAGAGAGTTGATAATAAATGTTGGCTAGAATATGGAGAGACGCTGGGACCCTCACACAGCTAGTGGGTATATAAAATGGTTCGTGTACACTGGAAACAGTCTGGCACCTTCTGAAATGGTTAAACATAGAGTTTCCATATGGCCCATCAATTTCACTCTTAGGTATGTAGCCATGAGAAATGGAAACATACATCCCCAGGAAACCTTGTACACAAATGTTCTTAGAAGTGTTATTCACAATAGCCAAAAAGTGAAAAAAACCCAAACGTTCTTAACTGATAAATGGATAAATTTTAGTATATCCATTAATGGAATATTATTCAGCAACAAAAAGGTTTGATGTAATGATACATACTAAAAATGTAGATGACATTGGAAATATTATTCTAAGTGAAAGAAGACAGATGTGAAAGACACACATTGTATATTCCATTCATAGGGCATCATGCAACGCTGAAGTTAGAATCAAAGTGAGCTACAAAAGGGCAGCCACCTGTATTAAGTCCATCCTCATAGCTGTCAGAAAGCACAGCATGTTCACTAACGGGGGCAAGCCTTGCTCACGTTGTCAGATGGAGTTTCCCAGGAGGCTATGGCTTCTTCGGGGATCTGTCATCCAATGGTGAAGGGAGGGGTCTCTGGAGGCAAACCTGCCAGGGGCCACCCCAGCCGCACTTGTTCCCAGAGAGTGACCTGGGTGTGTGAGCAGGGAGGCCAAGCTGACCAAGAGCCTCAGCACACCCCCAGAAGCTGCTGTGAGCAAGCTGCATGGCTTCCCCAAGTGTGGATGTGATGACATCATGGGTATTTACAGATTCCTTTTCACTGTGTCCCAGGCTCTCCTGGTTCATGTGTGATACACTGCACTTGGGATGGAGGTGTGCTGACAGTTGTAAAGGGCCAAGCCTTTCTTTCCCGTGGCTCTGATGCACGGTTTCCAGATACCAGTCATGAAGGAAGTTCTTGAGATTATGGACTTTGTCCTAGTCACATAGGGCTGCTAGGACAAAGTGCCATAGACTTGGGGGTGGTGGCACATATTAAAAAAAGAAATGTATTTGTCACAGTCTGGAGGCTGGAAGTCCGAGGTTAGCATCCCAGTGGGCAAGGTTCTGGTGAGGGCTCTCTCTCTGGCTTGCAGATGGCCGCCTTCTCACTGTGTCCTCGTGTCAGGGAGAGAGAGAGCTCTGGGGTCTCTGCTTCTTACCAGGGCCCTAATCCCATCATTAAGGCCCCACCGTCATGGTCTCTTCTAACCCTGAATAACTCCCAAAGGCCCCATTTCCAAATACCATCACGTTGGGGGTTAGGGCTTCAGCACAGGAACTGGGCGGGGGATGTATGTTCAGTCTACCAGAGCCCCCCAGTCAGCCCCACTGTGCCCATTTAGGGGCAGATTGTAGGGCTCAGGTGGGACACAGAGGTGGAGGAAGCACAAGTTCTGCTTCCTAGGAATGGCTCAGCCAAGACAAGGACAGGGACAGTGGGATAGACAACAGCCAGTGGGGTAACCAGCAGGAGCCCCAAGGTGTCACTTTCACCCTTAGGTGAGGAAGGTGGCTGGGCACCCACACACGCCAGAGTATGGACCGTGTTCCCTTCAAACATGGCTCACTAACATTCCTAAACGATGCAAAGGGGCAGTGCTACCTTATCTCCTGAGGATGGCCCTGAATGTAGAGGAGTCACGGGAGCTGCCCACATTACCCACCAGTGACTCTGCTCCCCACATTTTCCCCGAGGGCCTGAAGTGCACTGAGCTGGGGAAGCCCTGCCAAGATAAACTCTCCTTCCCAAAGGCCACAGAAGACAGCAGGCCTCCGACATTGCCCACATCGAGCAGAAGGGACGGGGCAGAGGGGCATCTGTCAGGCTGACTGCTGTGTTCTGTGGGCAGATGGGGCCAGAGAGGACCCAAACATGGCTCCCTTTGTCACTTGGCCAAGGGGCCAGGCCACCGTGTACCAGACAGCTTTGCCCCACCAGCCTCTGCTGCTGGGCCAGCCCCCAGCACCGTGACCACAGCTCTGCACTCAGGCAGTGCTGGGACCAGTGCCCTGGCAGTCACAGGGGTCCTGAGCCAATAAGCGCCCTGGGGGAGGAATCAGAACTCAGACCATGGAGAAGAAGGTGTTGGCCAGGAGGGAACAAGGGTGGGTGCCGGGTCCTGTCCATGCTGGGATCTGAGACTCTAAGAGGTGGCTTAGGGGTAAGGGGGGCAGAAGTTGGCCCATGGGGTGAGGGCAGTTCAGCAGAGATTGGGAGGACAGGACAACCTGGGAAAGAGCAGAGCATCCTCTCCAGCCTCGGTCCCTCTCCTGATGCAGTCCTCATCTTACTCATAGACTCTGGAAGTCTCCCTTTGGCGAACACCTAGCCCCCAACTCCCAGGGCACTTCCCAGACAGCCAATGCCACATCCCAGGCAGCCCCTGCTCTGCCCTTGGGGTCTGTGCCTGGCAGAAGGGCGGCTGACCCTCGGCCCCTCTTGGCCTGGGCCCCAGCTCCTCCGGGCCCTGGAACCAGCAGAAACACCCACCCTGCGCCTGATGGACTGGACATGCTTGTTCCCATTGGTGATGGTGTGTTGGGAGGGAACTGTTTTAGAAACCAATGTAAATCTGTGTCTACATCAATTCCACATGAGTTCAGTCATCATATGGGAAGGGAATCATAGCTGTGGGGGGCTCCATGCAGGACCTTGAGGGCCCCGAGGCCAGTCCCTGTGGCCACAGCAAGGAGCATCTGCTTTAGCTAGTTGGACAAGACTCTCTCCTGCCCAGAAACAGGCAGAAGGACTTCCCCTGCTCCTCACCCATCATTGTATCCCAAACACACCTGTGTGGATGGTCACCTCAACGTCTCCCCTCAGCCCAGTGCCCGCGCTCTTCCTGATGAGGGTTAAGCAGGAGCAGCCTCCTCTCCCCATGTCCATGTTGCAGGCGGCTGCCTTCTCCTCAGCTCCCACCGAGCAGAACAAGAGCCAGCCAGCTCTCTCCAATCCCAGGATTTTCCAGGGATGCTGATAATGATGGGGGGCCCCAAGAAGCCTCCCTAAAGCAGGCAGGGCCTTGTGAGTGGGTGGTGGGAGGGATCAGGGCTTCCTCAGCATCTGTCAGTCCCTGGAGCATCTGAAGGGGCTCCCTACGTCAGGAGGAAAGAGTGGGGCCGGCCCCTGTGGGTTCCCAGAGCCTGGCATCTGCCAGTTCCTCTGCCCTCCCTCACAGACACCCTCCACGGAGCAGCACAGCACCGAGGACAGAGGCAGCAACCCCAAGAGCATTTTCCAAAACAACTACATTTATTCATACTTACACACGAGGCCCCCAACGTACTGCTTCCCACCCCCACTCCCCAGCCCCTTCCCCCCAGACCCTTCCTTCTTGCCCTCCCCATTCAGCCACCCTCTCCCTCCCCTCCCTCCCCTACCCTCCAAAGCTAAGGCCCAGCAAGATCAGCACTGGGGGAGAAGAAGTTTTGACCGCTTTGGGGCATCGGATGCCAGAGCCCCATCCTTGGGGATTGGCCCCAGAGAGCCTGCTCAGAAGCCCCTACTGGCTACAATGCTGCTTCTTCTCCTTCCTGGAGATGAAGGGGTCACCCTTTCTCTTTTGAGACTGTGAGGGGCCACCCAGCCCCCAAGTCAGGGATTGCTCCCCAGAGACCCTGAGCCCAGGCCCTGGGTGGGGTGTCTTTTCAGCAGGGGACAGGCTTCCAAAGAGAGGTCGCTTCTTGGACTTGTTGGCAGGAGAAGGTGCTAGGTTGAGGCCTCTTCTCTCAGCAGATGGGGACTGATGAGTTCCCTAGGGTCCCCACTTTTCTGGGCTGAGAAGGCCCGAGGCAGGGACAGGGCTCTGGGGTAGCCACCGGGGCAGAAGCTTGTGCTGGGAACCCAAGAGGAAGGCCAGGCTGGGGAGTTCCTCCTCCTCACTTGACCCCTGAGCCAGCCCATGTGACTCCCTGACAGGAGACCCTCCAGGGAGATCCAAGGCATCCTTGGTACCCATGCCAGGGCAGGTGGGTCTGTGGTCCTGGGGAGGAGAGGTTGGCCGGGCAGCCCTCAGCCCAGGGGAATCCTGACATCCCAAAAGCACAACAGAGTCTTTGGACCTGGCCATGCCAGCGTGTGCTCTGCCTCGTCCCTGAGAGTCCCGGGCAGTCGTCTGGGGTGGGCAGGTTTCCATGCCAACCCCTTGTTGGGGGTCAGGGACATCTCTCTCTGCTCCTTGGCCAGCTGCAAACTTAGAAGAACTTGAGTCCAACCGGGCTGTGCCATGACTAGGGGCTGCCCTCGCATGCTGTTTCTCCTTCAAGGGTAGGAGGCGCTTCTCCACTAGCTGCGGGAGGAAAGGGGGCACTTACTGGCACTGCCCCAGGTGTGAGCAGGGCCCAGGGTGGTGGAGACCAGGGCACTTAGGCAGCAGGTAGGGAAGCCTGAGGCAGCTGGGCTTTATGTCAAAGAGAGAGGGTGTGGCTCTGCCGGGCATCCCGTTGGGCCTCACCACAGCTTGCATGCCGACTCCCCTCCCTGGCTCCTGTCCATCCTACTCCCTCTGAACCTGCATCTTCCCACTCCAGAGTGGCTCCCCAAGAAGCCGAGCATCCCCAGCGGGCAGGATTAGACAATCAGGTGGGCCTTGTGTGCCAGGTCCCTCCTGCCCCTGGGGTACCTGGGCAAGGGTGAGTCCTTCCTCCTGCTCCAGCTCCTGGCTTAGGGCCAAGAAATCCATCTGTGGATCTGGGGAAAGCAATTCTTCCAGGAATTGGGGATGAATGACGGCCTCCACCTGGAAACAGAAGGAAGAAGGCATGAGCTTCCTGGGCAGGGAGTAACCTGGAGCCAAGGACACCTGGAGGAGATGCAGAAAGCAGCGAGCACCCCGTCCCCACCCTCCTGGGGCTGTCTCATATCATGGTGACCACCAGCTACAGACACAGACCACAGACCTGGTAGCTACACACACACAGACAGAGACACACAAACCACACACAGACACACAAACAGACCCACATATGACACAGGAAAAGACACAGACACAGGTAACGTACACACTCCACACTCACACCCACACAGACACACAAAGACACACAGTAACAAACCACAGACACAAACACACAGCAACACACAGACACACACAATCACATACACAGACTCTCAAATCCATGGAAATACACACACTGCTGAGTCGCTAAGGAACAAAGCTTAATTCCAAGGACCTGGGAGTGCCACCCCCTGGAATCCAGCAGACCCCAGCACTCCAGGCCAGCTCACCTTGGTGACGAAGTCTTTCTGGGAACACAGCTTGTCAATGTAGCTCAGGAGGCCCGGGTCTGGGGGCATCCAGTCCTCTTCCTGTGGCTGCTTCACTTCGCCCTCTTCCCGTTGTTTCTTGGGCTCCCCGTGGCCCCGAGGGAAGGCCCCAGCAGCTCCTCCATGATGTCCACATACTCCTGCACCACTTCTCGGGGGATCTCCTCAGGGACCTTGGTCTCTGCTGGTCTCTGGGGCCTGGGTGGTGGCAGGCGGGCCTTGGTCTGTGCTCGCCGGTGGGGCCGGGGTGGTGGCCAGCGGGCCTTGGTCACTGGCCTCTGGGGCCTGGGTGGTGTCAGGCAGGCAGTCGGGGCCTTGGGGCCGGCCTTGCTGGGAAGGTACACTGAGGCAGAGAGGGAGGAGGACGGGCATGGTGAGGGCCGCTCCTCCTGCTTGCACCACACAGGGGAGGGGAGGGCTTGGGGATGTGAAGTGGGTCCCAGCTGGGTCAGGACCACCTGAACCGCAGCGCCCCCAGAGGAGGCAGGAGGGGCACATCTGAGACAGCATCACTTGGGAGGAAGTTTGGAGCCACCAATATGCCGTGTACTCTCCCCGCTCATCCCTGCTTCCTGGGCAGAGCATATGTGGAGTTTTGGACAGGCGAGGGGAGAGAGTAGCTAGGAAACTTGACCAGGTCAATACCGAACATATGCTCCTGGAAACTGTCCTGTTGGAGGGAGCAAATCCCCCTCTTGAAGGGAAGCATGGGGTGTGGGGACAATGGCCTCCCTTGGCCCCTTTGGCCTTTGCCATGGCTCCTGTGGGAATATGGGAAGCCATACCTGGCTGCTTGACCACCTCAGGGGCCGGGGGTCCTCGAGGTTCAAGCCTCGGTGTGGCTGGAGGAGGCAGGCACTGGGGCCCCTTCATCCATTGCGATTTCTGAATCTGCATCTCCTCCTCAGCCTCAAACTCCAGGAATCTGGGGGTGAAGGAGGCCCAGGCTGTGCTGAGAGGGTCCAGGCCCGCTCCCCCCAGGACCAGGCAGTGGCCGAGGGCAGGGATAGGAGGGAGTGCCTCCGGTGGGCTGTCCAGGCCCTCACTGTGTCCCATCCCCCAGTCCCAGGAGAAAGCTGCTCCCAGAGTTCTGGGCTCACCCTCCCTCACCCAGCCCCCGCAGAGCCCATGGCATCAACGGGGCTTCCTGACTCAACTCAGGGCCACGAGGTCCAGGAGGGTCTCGGGGGACCTCTCCTCCAGGTTTCAGCTGGCCAGGGGTGGGGTGTATGGCAGAAGGCATCAGGGATGATGCCCAGATGCAGGAGTCCTGAGGCTAGGACTGTGGGCCCCTGAAAGATAACCCAGGGGCATGAGGCCTGGGAGACCCCTGGTCAGGAGGAAGCAAAAGCTGAGCTCAGAGGACAGGGCCCCTTTCCCCTGAGGCTGCTGTCTATCTGTCTGCCTTCATGGAGGGGACTGCCCAGGAGCAAAGGCAGTCAGGCCAGAGATGGGTCCCATCGTGTCCCAGGTGCAGATCTCCCCAACCCAACTCCCTGGCCAGGCTGGGATGGGAGAAAACCGACTTCTGGCCACTGCTGTGAGGAGCCTGCACCCTACTCTTGTCCATAGTCACTAGCACCCCTTCTCCCCATCCCCACAGCTGGAGGTGACCCACTTTGGGCTGTGATACTGGCTGCTCCTGCCATGACCTCCAGTGTCAAGGCAGGGATGGCCCCAGGCCAGGCAGGGGGTGCTTCCCAATAGGCCAGGACAGAGACCCCAGAACACTCTAGGTGGCAGGAGCCGCTTCCTGAGGGATCCAGGGGCCCAGAGTGTCCTGGGCTTCTCCACACCCTCCTCATACTCCACGTTGAGAAGCCACCATGGCCACCGGGCCTCTGTCATTCACTCTCACCCTGCCACGCGGGCCCTGCTCCCAGGACCCCAGACTCACTTTTCTGCCATCTCGTAGAAGATCATCCGGTCAAAGTTGCTCGTGTGCTGCCATTCCTGCATGGCCTGCCACAGTCCCTCCTCCAGGGTCATGGTGGGCTTCTGCCGGGCCAGAGATCGGAGAACTGGGCTGTAAACCATTGCAGTCAGTCTCAGTCTATAAGCCCACCCTTCATCCCAAGCCCACCTGGTCCCAACACCTGGCCCCTGTCCTCCCCACACCTGTCCTGCCATCTGTCCCTGTCCTGTTCTCCCCCATGTGGGCTCCTCAGGCCCCAGGACACACCCCCAAGATCAAACATCAACACAAGCTACCAAGTGGCCTCTCCGACTGCCCCTCGAGTCCTCAGTGTTGAGAAGTGGACTCAGTACTACGGGTGGAACATGTGTGTCTCCAACATTCCTGTGCTGAAGCCCTCAGCACCAGTGTGTCAGTATTTGGAGGCAATCAGGGTTAAAGCAGGTCATGAGCGTGGGTCCCAGTCATGGAATCCAAGCCCTGATAAGGGCAGAAGGAGACGCCAGGGCTCTTGCTCTCAGCCACGAGGAGACATAGCCAGAGACAGCTCTCTCCAGCCAGGAGGAGGGCCCTGACCAGACACCCAATCTGCTGTCACCTTGATCTGGGACTTCTGGCCTCTGGAACTGGGAGACATGAATGTGTCTTGATAAAACATCC
This sequence comes from Homo sapiens, assembly GCF_000001405.40. Taxonomy (NCBI): domain Eukaryota; kingdom Metazoa; phylum Chordata; class Mammalia; order Primates; family Hominidae; genus Homo; species Homo sapiens. The sequence continues at coordinate 50,681,278 of NC_000010.11, read as the reverse complement.
AGTCTATGGCATTCGTTACGGCAGAGCCTGAGCTGACTGAGACAGCGTGCACACAGAATGACCTGGGGGTGAGGGTTAAAGTGCAGGTTCCAGGGCCCCAAGACTGAGCATTTAACCGGCTTCCTGGGGACTCTGGAGCAAGGCAGCCCCTGGGGACGTAGCCTCAGGGCCCTGGAGCATGAGGAGCAGGAGCACACGTCCAGAACCAAAGCAGAGCGGTGTCCACGCCACTGCAAGCAGCAGGTCCAGATCCCACATTCCCACAGGAGCCATGGCAAAGGCCTGTGAGCCTGGGGCAGCTCCACCCCAAGAATCAGGGTCCCCAGTGCACCGGGACTCCGCTCCAAGGAGGAATGCAACCAGTTCCAGGGTGCGGGAACAGCGAGATTTTTGGGGATGAAGATGGGGCCACCTTCCACCTACACCCCAGGCAGGGGACTTCCCTAGGGGAATGGCCAGTGTGTTGCACGGTGGATGTGCTCAAGCTCCCGTTTGCTCATCAGCGGGAAACACAGGGTCACAGAGGCGCTGCAGGGTGGAGAGAGGCAGGGACTGGGAATGAAACCACAAACTCTCCCAGATGCTGACGTTGCTGCCTCACAGTCACCACAGTCCATGGCCCTGGGCTGCTGGACTCATGGTGCACTCAGAGCTATCACTGGAGCCCGTGGCTTTGGTGAGTGCTCTCCTAGACGGCCTAGTCTTGATAATGATAGTAATGGGGACAGTAATCATAATGCTGTCATGTAATATGTCATAGCATGTGCCAGGCACTGTGCTATGCATGTCATATGTGAGCTCAAGTTATCTCTTCACCATCCTCTGAATGAAGCATCATTGTCCCTTTTTCTAGGAGGGATTGAGGGTGAAGATGCAAATACCTGCCCGGCATCGGCCCCAGTGCAGGGCCCAAGACCATCCCCCTGTGCAGGCTCCACCATCACTGTGCTAACTGGACCTCAGCGGAACTGCGGGCATGTGCCAGGTTCCTGCTGGGCCCTGCAGCTCCTTCCCCCAGCCCCATGTGAGGTGCTCCTGGCCATCAATACTGGGTTAAAGGGGAGGCACTGGGGTGTGTACTCAAAGACCTAAACCCAAACCGTAGCTCACATCACACCAGGAACCCTCTCTGACCTGGGTCTTCTGTAGACATTGTTGTAAAAATTATTGAAAGTAAGGATTGGCTGGACTCACAGGACAGTGACGGGCAGTTGAGATGAGGCCCCTGACAGTCTGTCCTGAGCCGCAGCCAGATTAATATTGTTGAAAATGTACCTTCCCATAGTGCAGCCCATCACCCTCACAACCGCCCTGCAAGCTCCCCTGAACAGCGTGACCTCCCGTCCATCCAGCAGCCTCTTTACGTGTGAGCTGCAGGACCAGCTCCAATGCCCCGAGGACACTCACATGAGGAAGCACGAAAGCGCTTCGGTGTCAGGACTCTGGGGAAGGTGCCTCCGGGCCAGGGGCTTGTAGTGCTGCCAGAGTCGGAAGTTCTCATAGACACTCCTGGGGTTACAGGAGTCATCTGGTGGGGCCTTGGCCTGGGAGGAAGCCAGGCTGCCCTCTCCATGAGCCCCTTGTGGCCATGGCCCAGCATTCCCTTGGGACACAATGGGGGGCAACTGGGCAGCCGGTGGTGGTGGTGGTGGAAGAGGAAGGCCCTGGGACCAGCCTCCCTCACAGGCCTGGGTGCCCCCAACCACCTGGGCAGCCATAACAGGCACCACAGGAGCAGCTGCCAGGAGTAGGGGAGGTGGACACACAACACCTCCACAGAGGGCGCCTGGAGCCTGCCAGATGAGGGGGCCTGAGTTAGGACCAAGGTCTGTGTCTGAGCGGCCTTCACAGGCCCCACCTCTGTCCTCATCTGGACAAAGACGTTGGAAGCCCCGGCCCCACTCGGGCCGCAGCCATCCTCTTCTGCCACCAGAGGTGTGCTGGGGAAGGTAGACAGCACCAGAGGGCCGCCTGGAGGAACCCCTGCAGTCACAAGGAGCGGCCTGTGTGCTGGGCCAGGAGCGGGTGTGGTGAAGGGCAGAGCCGTGAACACAGACAGGGAGGTACCAGGGTTCACGGTCACGCCCGGTCCCAGCACTGGGTATGTTGTGGAGACAAAGGAAAGAGGTGAATGAGCTGGGGTCTCCAGGTCCACACTAGTCACTGGAGAATCAGAGGGGAGTCCCAACAGCTAAGGGCGTATGATAGGGAAACTGCAGCTTGCAAATGTCCCTGAGTGTGCATCGGATGCTCTGTTCCTCCATGGAGAGTCACTCCACTAGAGAGCCTGGCCCCGGTCACCAAGACTCCCTGACCCCTGTCTCCCAAGAAGCAACAGCCAAGCCTTCGCTGCCCGAGGGTCTCCCTCGGTTGTCCCTGGCAGACCCTGTCAGCCTCACAGGCATCTCCCAAGCCATGGGTCAGGGATGAGTCTCTCAGCGGCCTGGTGGTCCTCAGCGTGCTCAGCAACAGGTGAGGGGCCTACCCCAGGGCAGTACTCGGCACTCAGAAGGCCGACAGGAAGCCAGAAGCTTCCGAATATTATGGCCCCATCTCCTTTTCAATCTTCCTTTTCCTGAAGCTCTTGTAAACCCCTTTCTTTCCCAGCTCAGACATAACAAAACAAAACCACTGGATGGAAATCTTTCCCAAGCCAGCGCCCTAGGAACCCTGAAGATAATCCATAACTCGTCATGCCCAGCATGCAAGTGATTGTCCTGGCACCACCCACAGCAAGTGCTAAATAGGGGTCAGATTCAGGCCACCCTTTCCGCAGTACTCGATGGTCCCGGCTGCCACTCAGGAAGCTCTGTTCCCAGGGAGCAGGTCTGAGAGGCAGTGGTGGAGTCCCCTGAAACAGTGTCACTGCATAGCCAGCAAAAGCCACACACGATTAGAACACAGCCAGCAAATGGTGAGCAGCAGGGCTATCAGGGGAGTTGTCTAGGGATTTTCACAGCTGCTGGTCATGTTACAATAGGTAGTGGGACAAGGAGCCCATCCCTGGTCCTTCTCCTTTAAGCTCCCAATAACTGAACATAGTGACCAACCAAAAACCAGGGGTTCTTGGGCCATGGGCCGGGTGAGGCAAAGTTGTCTGGAACTCATCCCTGTTCAATAGGACCTCATGCAGTCTCTAGTCAAGGGGAATAAGGGATACAGCACATGCACCTCATCATTCAGGACACATATCCTAACTTGAATAATAATAATAATAAGAGAACCATCTTCCTATTTGTGTGCTACTCTCCTTCCTCTGCTGAAAAGGAAACCAGACTTTCCAGACCCTTCCACTGAGAACCAGCAAGAATCCACACCTGCCCCCCGTTCATGAGGTAGTATAAATGGAATAGGAGCAAATTCTTCATCTCCACAGTAACACAAAGTGCAGAGGACAGGCCATGAGCTAGCAGACAAGAGGAAGTGGGTCTGAAGACCTGAGCTTCCACAACAGGGCAAACAATTCAGAACAATTCAAGAAACCCAGGCCCTGTGTTGCCTGAACTTCCTCATCTGCCCCCACCCCTGTTAAATCAAAGCCAACAGCTACCTGAACTGATGGAGAAGCCATCTCTAGGGAGAGAGCTGAGGGGCTCTGGGCTGTGGCAGTTACAGTTGCCCCCAGCCTCGCCCACACAGGGGCTGTCACTACATGCTCTGTCACAGCCAACCCACCCAACAGTTTTCTGGCTGAGACCACTTCTCCCCACTCCTCCCTAAGATCTAGAAAACTCCAGCCCAAATCTCTCTGAACACTATGGAAGGGCACCTTCCAGGTGCCTAAAGATATGGCACAGGGTTCAGGCTTGCCTATCATCCTCCCGGGGCCACCAGCACAACATGATCCCACCACTCCCTACAAACACAAAATGATGTGACCTGTCTCCTTCTAGAAAGGATCAATCCACTCTGTCCTTTCTCCTACACGGTGTATTACCCAGGCATCTTGTTCCACCTCTAAGGGGCCGTCCTCCCTAAACACAGACTCAGGGTGCCATAGCCATCCCCAGGTGTGATGTCCTTGGGGACATCCAGTCTTCCCTCCCTCCTCAACATCAGCCCTATCAACTGTCCCCGGGGCAGTATCAAATTTGAATTCCTAAGGAGTTGAGGCATGGCAGACTCAGATAATGCCCCCATCCCTATAGGCTTACCTCCATTTGAAGCCATCCCCTCAGGCTGGGCACTGACCACCGCTGTCTGGCAGTTTCCGCAATGAGAAAAGCCAAGGGTAAGACCCAGAGAGTGACTTGGCTCAGCAGATGCTCCTGAGTCCAACTGAAGCAGTTAAAATTTGAATGTAAACAGGTTTTTGGAACATAGGACCCCAGACATTCTGCAGAGGGGGAGGGGCAGTGGGCAGCTGGTAGGGGTGGGGGACATTCTGTGAAGGGCTTCAGCCATTAGGCAAGAACCTGAGTTTCCCTTCCAACTGGAAGGCAGCAGCAGAGATGGCATGTGCCTCTTTAGGCAACTTTTAAATTGTCCTTCTGACTCACAGCAAAAGCTTCTACCTGATGTCCCCTTTACTTCCATTCTTTATCAACAGACCTACTTTTGTGCCAGTCAACCCATGCTCCTTCCCACTTTGGCTCTTTCCCAGTCTTGACGAGTTTCAACAGTGGCCTCACTTCGTGAACAAAATTCAAAACACATCTTCAGTCTGAGAAACACAGGGGTTCTTACGAAGGCAAGGGGACTGGGTGTTTGAAATCAGAATGGTCTCAGCCGATCCAGACTATTAGGTGGCTGTGTGCTTATCATTGTTTAGGAAGCAATCCTTGTACCCCAGGTACATGCAGCCCTCTTCTGCTGTGCAACTCTACCTCAATCTTAGCTGAGAAGATCAACGGAGAGCAATTCAAGCAAAATCATGGTAAACTTACCAAAACAAAACAAAACAAACCATAAACGCTTTGGAGATCTTTCTGAGGACTTGATCTTTTACCATGGGGCAAACTTAAATGATTTTCAATCAATAACTTCATCTAAGAGGGATGTTGAAGCAAAATACCATACTCAGATACTGAAGAAGGGCAGAATTTTTGGTTGCTTCCTCCCTTGTCAAGTCAGTCAACTGATGGTTTCTCAAGATTGTCACACATGGCTTTGATACAGGATTTGAATGAGACTTTTTCTGAGCCAGTGATACAAAAAATATATTGTGGAAGTGTCTTAATTCTGCAATTGCTTCTGTACATGTTTGAAGTCCTAGACCCCAGGAGGAGAGACAATCAAATTAGCCAAAGGTAATTTGTGAAGACTGGCCATGGGAGGTGGTGGCTAAAAGTCCTCTGGCCCCTGCTCTGTGAGCATCCCCACAGAAAGTCCTTGGCCGCACTGACAGCTGAGAAAGAACATCTCAGGGCTTCGATCCCCTGTTCAGAGGACACATGCTCCTCCACCCAGTAGAGGAATGGCAGCTCCATGCTGTGTCCTGCAGAGCTCTCAGTCTCTGCACTTGAGGCCCTGGGCCTGCATCAACGTGAAGGCTCTTCAGTGTTATCACGTGGAGACAGACGATAGGAATCCTGCAAATGAGCAGAAAGGATGTACGATTAAAGTTTTTTCTGAAGCTGTTACAAACTTAAGTCAGTGAATTGCTTCTCTACTAGTTTTTTATTGCCAACTGGAATTCTGCACTGTGTTGCAGAGTCAGGGGTGGGGAGCGTGGAATTGTTCCCTTACTATCTGCTGCTTTATCGACTGAAATTGATCAAGGCTACAACAAAAACATTTCTAGAAATCATTTGAATGCGGTAGGAAAAACTCTGGGAATGGAGTCAGAAGAAAGTATATTTTGGAGTGTGTTTTCAGGTCTAAAATTATTTGCCAGAAATATTCTTCAATGGAACCTCCAGACTGAGTAGGAAAACAGGGCATACTATTTTTTGAAAGGCATGAGCAGGAATGAAATAAATGCCGTCCAAAGGGAATGCAAGACATGCAATTCGAGGATACCTTGCTTTAGGATAAACCCTCCAAAGGTAAACCTTTCAGCAAGGGTGTTACCTAAGTGCATGGACTGCAGGTTTGTATTACCGAAAATTAGGAGTGGTCGCTGTGGACGCGCTGGTTTCTCAGAGGCATGGTCATGGAGGTTCCAATGAGGGGGCTTGTCTGGCCCCAGGAAGCGCCCAGGTGCTGCCTCCCTCCATTTCCACATCTCCAGCGGGGCCTTCCCAGGGCGGGCTCCTGGCCTGCCCCGTGCGCTGCCACACGAGCCTTGAGGCGGGTGAGGTTCCAGCGCGAGGCCGGCCGCCCTCAACCGCTCCCAGCGTGAGGCCGGCCGCCCTCAACCGCTCCCAGTGCCGGTTGCGGCGGTTTATGGCAGGGAGATGCGCAGCACGAGAGCAAAGGGCGGTTACCCAACGGCCTTCGCTCTCATGGCGTCCTCCTTGATGTTACCTAAAAATAAAACCAAGGGTGATTAGAAGGTAATCACCTCCTGGTCATGCTCCCACTGGTCACCGGTGTCCGCGGGGCGACCCCACATTGTGACCAGAGCAGGCCTGTGGCTGCGCTCAAAGGCGGGATCGTTCATAGCTTTCCTAGCGGGGGCCCTGCGGGACACCCAGGCTGCGCTCCTTTCCCTTGCTCACCTGGACCTGAAGTGATGGGGGAGGTGTAACAATGCAGTGGGAATGCCAAAGTGTGTCTCAGCCGTGCCTTTCACATTCCAAACAATTCAAAAGCTTGAAGAAAACCTCAGCAGTTGAAACCGTGATGCAGTTCAGCAAAGAAGTAGCTCCTGTCCTGGTAAAACAGTGAAGTTCTCATGGACGACCTCATTGAGTGAGTTGTGAAGCTTGTTGACTTGATCAGAATAATCAGCCAGCATGCTTGTTCTAATACGCTGATTTGTCACTGATATGAGCAGCTGCAAAGTGGAAGAACAGGCCTTTAGTCATAGTCTGTTCACTTGGTAGCACAAGTTGGTTGTGGATGCAAGAGTGTGGCCAAAGTCAAGAAAAGCTCCCATGAGAATCGCTTACTTATGTGGAATTTACAAATAAAAAGTAGTGGTATATTATTTGTAAATTGTAGGCTACACATGTATCTAAAATTTACTGCACATACGTGTGTATCTTGGGTGGTTGGGTTAGTGTGTACTTGAGAATGTCAGGAAGATTTATTTTGGATTTTGGAGGGTGTGAGATTTGTGGGGGTGGTTTTGTGTATGTGAAAATGTGTTTATATGAATTCTTAGTTTGGAATTTGATATGTATTTAATTGGTGAGAATCTAATATGTATTCACGTGTGTGGGTTGGTTGTGTCTGTGTGGAGATTGCAGATTAAAGAAGGTCATAACTGGGCCGGGCAGTATTGTGGAACTGTATGTGTATTTGGGGATATGAGGTGGCATGTTTGCATATTTGTGGCGTGTTAGTTAATCGCGGGTATATTTAGGGCATGTAGAGAACTACATGAGTATTGAGTTTGTGTGTGCGTTCAAGGGCGTGGCAGTTTAGATGTAGGTTTTGTGGAGCTATGTGCTTGTGTTTTGCAGTAAGTGGTTATTAGGGTTATATATTCTGGGAATTTAGTATGTGTGTGTCTGATAGAGAGATGGGGTTCTCTTTTTATACAGGAGAGTGGGAGAGTTGAATTTATATGTATCAGAGGTATGTGATATGGTTATTGGTTAGTACTTGGCAATGTGGGAGCTGGTTCATACTAGATTGGGATAATTTGGGATTGGGAAGTGTTTTTATGGGTATTTATAAATGATATGCTGGAGATATTTCTGTGCATCTTGGGTGTGTATACTGGTTTGTGTGTATATTTATCAGCAGATAGATGAATTATCTAAGTCGGTTTATAGAATACGGGATTGTTAGTATTTAAAGTGTATTTCTTTGGAGAATGCTAGGATGTTCGTACACGTGTTTGGGCATGTTTAGGGGATGAGGTGAGGAGGTTGTATTCCGGAGATGTAGCATATTGATTGGATAGTGTTTCGGGGGATTTATACACTCAGGGATTGGGGATATTTTTGTGAGTTTGTATGTGCCCATGGGTATATGAAAGTTATGTGCGTATATTAGAGCATTATTGGTGTTTTTGTGTTTTTTTTTTTTTTGTATTGGTCTTACCTGGGAGGGTGAGGTGTGTATTCATGGGTAGTTTGTGAGTGTGTATAAGAGGGGTTTTGGGTATATTAAGACTTAGTGGTCCTCTGTGTCTGTTGTGAAATGTAATACTCGCAGAATTTGGTGTTGCCACTTGTATCTGTGTTCTCAGAGTTTGTGAGGTGGACTTATATGTATTTGATAAAAATAGTTTGTGGTTCTGTGTGTATTTGAGTTTATGTGGCTTCTGTGTTTTGTATTCTGGGAGATGTGGGAGGTTCAGTGCATGTATTTGGAAACAGAGAGGCTGTGTAGGTTGTGTTTGGATTCAAGAATCATGGATTCCTATATTTTAGAGCTGTGGGATTGTATGTGATTCTTTTTCTGGGTGATGCATGACACAAGTGTTGTATACCTTGTGATTTTTTTTTGAGCCTATGCCTATAGGATTTTCATTATGTACTGTTAACAAATCTACTGAAAAGGGTTTTCTTAAAAAAACAACAAAAGAAAAAAATAGAAATTTGATTCCACTGAGCTGTTTGCAAATCAAGGAGTCCCAGCATTCAGTGCAAAACAAAGGTACACTCTGAAAGAACAAAGAGAGGTATTATCTTTTACAGAGAAATTCGTTCTCAGATTCCCAATCTGGTTCACTCTGCAAATGAGGGATACAAGCTTGTTTATTTCTGATTGGCTGATGCAAGTCACAGTCTATTTCTTAAGTCCATATGATGAAATGGTACCCCTTGATTCAGGTGACATAAACAGGAACAGACAGCTGTGAAAGTCCCAAAGTGACACAAGTATGTGGTTTTTGCAGGAAGCAGGGTAAATGTGTGAGACTTGCAGTCAGCAAATGGCTGCTTGGCTCCATTTTGAGTTTAGGCCCAGTTAGCCACTTATGATCAGCCCTTTCAGGGTTCACAGTATATATGGGTATATATGGGTACTGTGTTCATTGAACATGTTTGTATTTGGGCACGTATATATATACATATATGGTTTTAGCAGTGAGGTGAGCATTTGGGGTGGGTAGAGTTTTGTCTGCAAATTTAAGTAATAATTGGGCAGGCCATCTGTGTATTTAGGGTACAGGTAGCAGTTGTGTTGCTGGTGGGCTGGTTCAGGTTCTTGACTTTGCTGCACAAAAGAAGTCTTACTTTGAGAGTGAGTCCAATGTAAAAGTAAGCAAGAGAGGTTACTGCAAAGTGAATGTACACTCTGACAGCCGATCAGAGTGGGCTGCTGAAAGGTGAGACAGCATTGACTGACACTGGGGAAACCTCCTTTATGGGAGCCTTACATGACTATTCATGAAGGGGTGGGAAGGGGTGTCACTGTTAAGCACTCTCTGGGCTGTTCTCTGGACATGCATGCGCTATTGCTGCACATGCTAGTGCCTATATCAGGTGAATCATTAACATCTTAAATCTCTACCCAAGGGTGTGTTTTTCACTGTTATAGTGAGCACTGGTCAACCCAGGGACACTAATCATGGGTTTTTGCACTTGTGTGAATTTGGGGATTTTCCCTTCTTCTTTTCCACCTCCTTACTGCAGGACCTCCTTGTGCACTGTCGGATGGTTTGTTCTCTTCATCTGTTTAGCAAGTTTGTTCTCCTTTAATGGAGGCTATGACCACCCTATCCTATCTCAGTTGTGTGTGTCTGTTTAGGATATATGAGGAGGTTGTCTTCTGGAGGTACCTGGTTTGGTTTTGTTTTTATATTTGGGGTGAGAGTTGAGGGTCCTACTCAGGGTGCAGGTAGATTGTGTACACGTATTCCTATGAAAGGATGTGGCTGTGCTGGAGCTGGCTTGTACTAGCTTGGGGTAGCCACTGGGCAAGGCACATCTCTTCTCATCTCTGTGTTCAGTGGCGTTAGGTTGGTAGTTTAAAATTAGTCATGCTGAGATATTTACACCACATAAGCATCACAATTCTAGGCTTTCCTATGTCCCCCTGGAGAGCATTTTATTAAGCAGTTAGTAACACACCCCGGGGCGGGTGTGTGTGTGTGTTTGTGTGTTCAGGATCTGTAAGCAAATGTTTGTATGAAGCAAGAATATTGAGGCTTTAATGGTTGTGTATTCTGGGGATTCTATGTGTATTGTAGTGATGCAGAATGACCAGGGAGCATGGTTGAGAATGACCCTCCCTGGTCATTCTGCATCACTGTGTTACTCCTAAATAGTTGGTTCATTCTTAGGGCCAAAGAATCCATATAAATGGTAGTTTCTTGCTCTTCCTCCCACAGATGGATGCAGGGGTACCTGCACCTTAGGCAGGTGTTTGCTCCTTCAGTATCTGTGTTCCTAGCATCTGGGTCCTCAGATGGGTGGGCCTGGTAGACGGAACACTGTGCAGAGCAGAACTTTTCTAGATATTGTCCGTGTGATCAGCACAGTCAGAAAGATGTGGGGTTTCCAGGACAGGAGGTCAGATGTGCCATGTCTTCTCTCAGTCCTGATGTCCCTGCTGATTCCTCTGGGGCATGGCGAGTGACAAGGACACCCTCTAACATACGTTCCATGAGATGAAAGCCTGCAGAACCTGTGCCTGCACTACCATCTGCCCCCTGGGTGGGGATACTGTTGGGTGTCAGGCTGAGAGCTGGGCCACCAGTTCTCAACCAACCTGTCCCCATGGAAACCTGAGGCTTCGGGGCTAAGGCAGGACCTCCAGCAGGTACCCAGTGTTGAGAATACGTGTTGGCTTCTGTGTTAGGAGTTTTATCTCAGTGGAGTCTTGGTAAAAAGAGGGAATCAAAGGCACGTGACATTTTCTTCTTTCTCTGGTGAAGTGAGGAATGAATGTTGACCATTTCTTTCTGAAGTTCCGTACAGAAAATGTATACTCAGCCTGAGGAGCCAAGGTGATTCCTTAGCTGCTCTTGGAGAAGGTGTCATCTGCTCTTCACAAGGAATCTTCAGGCACAAGGGCCTGAATCTGACTTCTCGTGGAAAGCATTGGGCAGAGCTTCACAGTCCCGCCTAGAGCTGGGCTGTAATTCAAGGGACAAAGTGGAGGAGCAACAAGGAAGTTGTGGGGAGCAACCTTTAGAACCTGGGCCTGGGGAGGGCAGGCCAAGGAAGCCTGAGTTTACACGGGCTCAGGTCCTGGGGCAGAAGCCAGACACAGAGCCTGGGCAGCCAGATTCGCTCCGGCCTGGGTTGTGGGTGGGGATGAGCCTCCTCTTGTGCTCCTGTCGGGGGCACTCCTGAGCTGCAGGCAAAGGTCTTAGTTGCACCTTGGCAGGGATGTACAGCCAGGCCTGGTGCTAAGGAGTGAGGAGGGTAGAGTCAAGGAGAGGAGGCACCGATCTGTGTCCCTTCAGCAATCTGGAGCATGATGTTAGATCCTGTTAGGGCGACCTCCCACTCGCATCTCCTGGATCTTCTGTCACTGGGAGGCTCAGGACCCCAAGAGAGAATGGATTCAGTTTCCCCTGATGTGTTCATCTGGTTCTGGGACCCCATTCTCTCAGCACGTTGGGTGCTGGCCCTGCGGGTATGGGAGAAGCCTGGCAGGGGTGGGGGTCAGTGAAGTGACACGGGCAGAGCTGGGCAGGCTCTGTCCTGAGGAGTGCTGGGAGCTGGGTTCTGGAGAGACAGGGAAGCCCCCCTGAGAAAATGTGGCTCTGATGTTTCTGAGAACCCTGTCAACGGGTTCTTTCCAAAGGCTCAGGATGCCCCTGGAGTGGCAAGCGCATCTCAGCTTCATGTTTCTTTTTTTTTCTTTTCTTTTCTTTTTTTTTTTTGAGACAGAGTCTCCCTCTGTTGCCCAGGCTGGAGTGCAGTGGCACGATCTCGGCTCACTGCAAACTCCGCCTCCCGGGTTCTAAGCCATTCTCCTGCGTCAGCCTCCGGAGTAGCTGGGATTACAGGCATGCACCACCAAGCCCAGCTAATTTTGTATTTTTAGTAAAGACGGGGTTTTGCCATGTTGGCCAGGCTGGTCTCGAACTCCTAACCTCAGGTGATCCACCTGCCTCGGCCTCCCAAAGTGCTGGGATTACAGGTGTGAGCCATTACGCCTGGCCAGCTTCATATTTCTGATTGGGTCACCCAACCTTCCATTAGTTTCTCTATTGCACATGGGGCCACAAGCCCAGCAGAGGGAGCCACGTGATGCAGGTGTCCACCTGCTGACCCCACAGCCACCACCTCCTCCCTCAGACTCACCCGAGGATTTGTGGGCCTTGCTCCTTACCGGGAGTCGCCTTCTGGCCTTATCTTCCTCGTGGTGAATCCTCCCGCCAATAAAATGTGCCAACATCACTTCCTTTAATGTTCTAATAGCCACTTCCCTGTGGTACAAATGGATTCCTGGTGGTTCTTGCTGCCCCCTCATGTCCTGCCCTAACATAATGAGGGTATGTTGCACTAGTTGTATTGTGTTTCATTGGCAGAATGGAGCTCTGTCTGCTTTTATAATATATGTCTTAAAAAAATGCACTGTAATGTATACCAGGTAGATCTTCTTGGATTTCTTTGTTTTGAAATGGGTAGTCATGGATCCTGAGTTTTAGGGGAGAAGTACATGTGTCTCTTGGTCTTGAATCAGCACAGAAAATCTCCCATGCAGGTTGCATGAATGGCAATTGCTAGAATTGCTGAGGTTGGCCTAAGCCATTTGTTCTGGGCTCAATATTTTTGAGGAGTGTATGTCATGAAATGTATCCTGCACCACCCCCTTCTCTCTATGAACAGAAGATATCCTCAACTGTGTGCTGAGTGGCCCCTCTGTCCAGCCCCTTAGAAGCCTCTGACTGTTCTGTTTCCCAGGAGCTGATAGGAAAAAGGATATGTTCCCATCTCAGTCCTCACTGGGCCCTGGTGCCCTATAGTGACACAGCAGTGGGTCTGAGAACACTCAGAAGGAAACAGTGAGGCCACTGAGGAACTGCCCCTTCAAAGGAGGCTGTTCTGATGCCCACTGCAGGAGTCTAGGGTCAAAGGAAGGAGGCTTAGTGGGCAAGACCAGGAAAGGCAGAATGGGCTGACCAGGGAAGGCAGAATGGGCCAGCCAGGCAGACACTAGGAACAGAGCAGGGAGAGCTGGGGGTCGGGAATGGAGTGGGAGGCAGGCTTTGACTGCACAAAGAGGTGGAGGGGGCATGTCAGCGCATATGAAGCCCCGCTACACACAAGAGTCCCCAGCCTCTCCTTCCTTGCCCAGACCCATTTCCTGGGGCTGTAAGTAGGGAACACTGGGGGAATGTCAGCTTGGGGCTCAGTGGTCTAGGTCCTTCTTGCAGATCAAGACTTTATTCAACCATCCTTTGAGTAATAAGTATGTCCATGGTGTCTGCAGGTTAGAATTGGGATATTTAAGGAGACCAGGGCCTTCTCTTGGGAGTCACCCAAGGTTCCTAATGCGAGGTGGAGGCAAATGTAACTGGAGGTATCCCAGGAGGGACAAGCCCAGGCCCAGCTTGGGAAGCAGGTGGTAGGAGATGGGGTGTTCTACCAGCAAGGACACAGCTGCTGTGCTGACAGTGGGCACTGGAAAGGGCTGTGGTTGGGTGATCCTCCCCCATGAGGACCCCTTATTGTAGGGGGAGCTTCATTGCCAGAAGATGTAACTGGAATGTTACTTCCTGTATGACATGTCTTCTCTGCACTCAGCACTCCCCTAGTGGCAGGGAAGTTTCTCAAGGGGCAGCCATGGTCAGGTCAAGGGTACAGGCTCTGGAGCCAGACTGCTGGCTCAAATCCCAGAAGCCCCAGTGTATACCTGACCTTTGTGACCTTGGGCAAGTATTTTAACCTCTCTGAGCCTCAGCTTACTTATCTGTAAAATGAGGATAATAGTGCTAACTCCACGGGGTTATAAAGATTGGCATTCATACATGTAAATTGCTTGGAGCAGTGAAGGCTGTACTGTAGGTGCATATGGCATAACTGTTAGCTAATGTGATTACTAGTCCATATGGAACATAACTGCCCATTTCCCTAGTATAGGCCCCCTCCCATCCACACTCAGAGCCCCTTCTTCTGATGGCCCCAGGGGAGCATGGGCTCCCTGCTCTTGCCCCTAAATCCCCAACTTCAACCTCTGTCTCGTAGCAAAATTAATGCTGGAAACCTCTGCTCCTACAGGATTTAAACCTCAGACACAGGGAGCTGACCTATTCACCTTAGAATCCTCTGGGGCACCCATTACAGTGTCTGTACCAAGGAGGCAACAAAGAACGGCAGAACAGACTGGAGCAGAAGGACAACCCAGCAGAGCCAAGCCAAATCACTGACCCTCAGAGGCCTGATGTGAATGCTTCTGGCTTCAGTCCATTGGATTCTGCAGTAATCTGCCGATCTACAGTATTACCACAGTAAATAACCGATAGACCTGAAAACGAATGCATGCCTCGTGCCAAAATTGCAGGAAACCTCACCAGCAGAAACAATTTTATATGAGGGAATGTACTCTCTCCTTTGCATTTTTCCTCAAATCTATATTTTTAGCCCCTCACTTGTCTCTACAGAGCCTCAGTTGCTTAATCTAATTGCTGACTGAACATCTCCAGGAAACTGTGTGTACGTGTTTGTATTCATAGTATATTTATTTATTATCTGTTTACTTCCATGGGATATAGTCTCCGTAAGAGAGTAGTCATCATTGTATTTGTTGATGCTTAATAAATAATCATTGAATGGGCCGGCTGTGGTGGCTCATGCCTGTAATCCCAGCACTTTGGGAGGCCGAGGTGGGCGGGTCACAAGGTCAGCAGATTGAGACAATCCTGGCTAACATGGTGAAACCCTATCTCTACTAAAAATACAAAAAATTAGCTGGGCGTGGTGGTGGGTGCCTGTAGTCCCAGCTACTCTGGAGGCTGAGGCAGGGGAATGGCGTGAACCCAGGAGGCGGAGCTTGCAGTGAGCCGAGATTGCGCCACTGTGCTCCAGACTGGGTGACAGAGCGAGACTCTGTCTCAAAAAAAATAAAAAAATAAAATAATCATTGAATGAAGGAATCAAAGAATGTGGTCCCAGGTTGGGTGCCCTTAGTTCAGTCCCTGAGAATTTATGAGTATAATGTTTTGCTTTTTAAAAAGTGAAAAAAGGGAGCATAGTTGCATTGGAGAAGTTAAACTATGACTCGGGCCCCCAAACAGTCTCACCTGACCCCATTTGCTGCTGTGGGACTAAAGTGTCTCAATAGAACTGTCCTTAGTCAGCCGCTTTATACCTGCTTGGATTAGCCACTGCATATGAAGCTTCCCCAGAAAGAGGAGAGAACTCAGCACGGGTGCTCTCCATAGCTGAAGCAACCCTGGGAGGGCCTGAGAGCCAAGTCTATCTTCCAACAGTATTCCCAGCAAATGGTGAAACAAGTCATTCATCAAGGAGGGATCTAGGTGGCTGATGCCTGCATCGACCACAGTCTGCCTCTGTTCAGCTTGAATCCATTTCTTCATTTGTAGTCTGAGGGTGGAAGACAAATGCATGTGTCTGTGTGTTCAGGATTGTAGGAGGTGGAGGTCTGTATGTTTAGGGTAGTGTGTCTTTGTGCATACAAAGTTGGAGTTTGTATGTATGAATTTAGGGAGTTTGAGCGGCTGTATATGTATTAGGGAGGAAAGCCACCACATATGTTTGTGGTAGAGTTGGAGTTTTGTGTATAATGTGAGGATTCTTTTGGATTATATGTGTTCTAGACTGTGGGTAGTTTATGTGGATATTCAGAGTATGTGTAGGGAGCATGTACATGTATTTGAAGGAGGGTAAGTTTATGTGAAGTATGTGTTGAATTCTGGTGGGATGAGGCATGTGTGAATTCATAGCTTCTGCAGGTTTTATGCAGCTGGCCTGAGAAGGTTGGAGTGTCTAATATATGCATTTGGAGACTGGGAGTTGGTGTGTCTGTGCATTTATTTGGATCATGGAAGGTTGTAGATGTGTATTTCTAACTGTAGATAATGGAGGACACATATTTGGGGAGTTTTGAGAGGATGTGTATGTGTGTGTGTGTGCAGTGTGGTATTTCTCTATGTTTTGGTGGGTGGGGTATGTATCCATCAAAATATCTCAGATTATCTGATGTAAGAAAATAATTCTGCATCTCAGTGACTTCCAACAAGGTAGGTTTCTCATGTATGTTATGTGTCCTCCATTGGTTGGCTTTGATCAGTTACTGGTCCTGTGCCTTGGATCCAGATGGATGAAGCGGCCTCATTTGGGACAGGACTAGAAGGACTTCTTCTGCTCAGAGTCATACATGGCATTTCTGATCACATTTCATTTGCCATAACAAGTCATGTGGCCATACTCGAGTTAAACAGACTAGGGATGTATAATCTCTCAGACAGAGACACCACAGAGAAAGACCATGAATACTCTTCATAGTGATACATCTGCCCCATTGTGTATACATTCAGAACATGTTCCATTGCTGTGTTTATATTTCACTAAGGAGTATGGGGAGTTGATGAGGGAGTGTGTTTAGGTGTGTGAAGGCTGGTGTGTGACAAGGGAGGCATTGGCAGGTGTGGGATATTTTTATACTAACACATTTTGGGGATTTGTATCTGTTTTGGGTATTTGTATTCTGTGTCATGTATATGTGTTATATATTTAAGATATATATTTATGTAGGTAGGTTAAGTATTCAGTGGTGTCAGAAATGTGTTTTTAGGGGAACATGGGTGAGTTTTTAGTATATTACAGAAGCATAGTGGGTTTTGGGTTTATTCTGAGGGTACTGGATAGTTATGTGTTCCTATTTGAATGGTGTGTGTGTATTTGCGTGCTGGGGGTGGTTTTGTGTATTTTGACGGTTCTGTGAGATATTGTGAATATGTGTGCATACATTTGAAAAGGCAGGTAATGTTCTATGTTTTAATGGTTTGTGTGTTGGATTTGTGTGTATTCAGAGTAGAGGACTTTATGCTCACGGTGTCTAGATGAGAATTTAGGTGTACATTTTTGGTGTGAAGAATTTGGAGGCAGAGAGATGGCTGGGTGTATTTGGGTGTTACCACTATGTGTATGTAACCTGAGGATATGGACAGAATATTTATAGTTTTCAAGATGGAGGCTTGTGTATGTTTGTATTTGGGAGTATATAGCCATGTGTGTATTTGGATCTGTGAGTATATCGTGGGTGTGTTATTCAGGCATCTGCATGTTTGAGTTTGTGTAATCTGAAGAGTGTGAATTTATTCAGGAAATGTGGTGGCTGTGTGTCCACTCTAGAGCTGTGAGTGTGTGGTCTGTGCTTGTACCAGGAGAGTATAGGATAATTTCCTCTTTTTTTCTATTTTTATAACATTTTATGTAACTCATAAAACAGTGTTTGTATAAAAATTCACACAAAGTTGCTAGAGAGCATACAATTTCCAAAAATGTCCTGGGTTTTTCATTACATTAAGTTTTTCTAACGATGCACTCAAATCAATGGTAAAATGCAGACATTATGTGATACTTCATTGTCTTTAGCAAAACTATTCTCACTACTTTGTCTCCTCACAGTATTAACTCTGATACCCACTTTGTGCAGGGTTTGCTAGTACTAGGATGTCACAAAACCATTAAGGCTGGATCTACAAGAGGCAAATATTTCCAAACAGCAGTAATAGCCCCTTGGCCCCCACCCCCACTTCATATATCCATACAGTCTGTCTACACAGTGAGGCAGGGTGCAAGCTCACAACCTCCACTTGGGAGTCTCAAGATCCCCCCTCTATTGGGTGAGAAGCAAACATTTGGGGGGAATGTTGGAAACTGAGGCCATCTCTACAGGAAACCACGTGGCCATGCTCTAGTGTTTTTGGGCCAGCGACCCTTACCAATTAAACGGCCACTCAGTACATTTATAACTATCTTCATTCTTTAAAAACTTACTAACAGAGAAACCAATGAACCCTACCACCTACTGTGACTTACTAGTTCACTCAACATCAAAACGTGTCTGCTAATTTTTTAGTCCTTGGGATACAAGACAAAAAAAACAAACAAACAAGTAAAAACCAAAGAATTTAGACAGGGGGAAGGAAAGGGATTGCCAGTAGATTTCATGGAACACATTAAATTTTGAAAAAAATCAGTATTTTCTACTTCTATTGCTTCGTGTAAAAAGTTTAAAATTAAAAAAATGCCCACTGGAGCCACCTGTATGGATGGAGAAGTGAGGACATAATATAGACAGGGCACAGGACCTGCAGTCATTTCCTGATGACAGTCCAGAGGCACAGGAATAGTTCCCAGGATGTGTCCATTTCTCTTCACAGAAAGGGACTGTAAGATTTTCAGGGAAGAAGCCCTACACGAGAAAGGTGTTAAGAAAATCATCACTGAAATATGGCTTCCAAAAATTGAGCATGCTCTAGGTTACAAACAGACATATTTAATTCCTAGAACTTGTTGAACTTCTCTGACATGGGTAGATGGGAATTTCAAAAGAGTTATTAATAATTGTGCTTCTAAAGTTGCAGGGTCAACATTTCACCCTCTAGAAAGCAGGGCAATTCAGGGCTTAGAGTCTTCTTGTTTACATCGTAGAAACCAGAACAAATTTCATGGGACCCCTCACCCCCAACAACCAGCGGCCAGGTGGAGAGAAGGCCACAGCTGTCTTTGGGTAGGGCGCCTGTGTGTGCATGCTGTGTGCATGTGCTGGAGAGACTAAGGCATAGAGAAGGGCCCAAGCGATGAGGTAAAGTGAGTCTCCTGGCTGCGCTAGTCCCTTCTTTCCAGGCACAAAGAAGTTGAACTTGTTATTCATGTAGGCCCCCTTCCTCTCACCTCAGCTTTTAGTAAGCAGTGTGTGTGTGCATGAGTAGCTGTGTGTGACAGAGTAAGTCCCTGTGCCTTTCTAGATTTCAGTAATTCAGGTTTGCAGTTTCAACAGAAATAATCTGTAAATGACACAAGCAAATTTACAAGTTAGATTAGCAACTTTACATTCCTTAAAATCTGATGTTATATTTTTAAAAATGCCTCTGGGTACAGGCAAAATTATGTCATATGGCCACTGGAACTGAAGTCCTTACCAGCTATATGAAGAATATTCAGATTGTTTCTGTTATCTCTGCATTTTAAAGTAGCAAAATACTAAGCCATTAGGTTATTGAACCTGTAATATTCCCACAGGGGTTTTATGTCTACCCCATGGGATTCAATTAATTTTCCTGGACTCTGGTTAGACTGTTTCCTTTCCCTCTTAGGCATTTGGCCCCCAAAGTCAGGAAGGTAAAAGTGTCATTTTTAAAGATTTTACCTGTCAGGGAATTTCCTTGTTGGTGCTCCTGGAAAGCATGCAGCTGGCCGGCAGGAGTCTGACATTCTCAGTCAGTGGGGAGAGAAGACATGTGTCTCCTAAAGCCAAGAGGTAGCCAGGTGGAGGACAGCAGGACTTTCTAGGGAGTCCAAGGGGAAAGTTCTGAGTGGACTCTGGGAAGGGACATGGGTGCCCCATCTGAGATGACCTGTGTCCTTCCAATGCCTGGTATCCCCAAGAGGTGCCCAGACATGGACCCGCCCTGGGGAACGAGGATGTGGTGCTGCCTGGAGGAGCTAACACTGAGGTTTGGGGAAGTCACCACACAGCTCCCAGAACCCAGAATCTCCGACAAGCAACCATGTGTGGAGAGGGAATGAGGACAGTGGAAGGACACAGCTCAAATGAAGACACTGCGGACATGTTTCCATGGCTTTCTACATTCTTCATCATCATCAAGTGTTCTCCTCTACACAGTGAGCACAACATTTTACCCACGTGCCTGATGGACAGGCCAAGCTGAATGGAAGACTTCTGAGGCACTGGAGCAGAAGGGAAAACTTGCACATGGTCACAAAGGACTTCACACTGTTCCATCCCCTCTACTGCCATCCAAGAGGCCTCTTGACTCTTCCAGAATCAGATGTAAAAGACAAGGTCAGTAAAATCAGTATCCATGCCACCTGAAGCTGTGATTAGGCATTGTACACGAACATGGCACTTTTATTTACTTATTTATTTATTTATTATTTATTTTGAGATGGAGTTTTGCTCTTGTCGCCCAGGCTGGCGCTCAGTGGCACTATGTTGGCTCACTGCAACCTCTGCCTTCCGAGTTCAAGTGATTCTCCTGTCAGCCTCCCGAGTAGCTGGAATTACAGGCACCCACCACCATACCTGGCCAATTTTTGCTTTTTTTTTTTTTTAAGTAGAGATGGGGTTTCACCGTTGGCCAGGCTGGTCCTGAACTCCTGACCTCAGGTAATCCACCTGCCTTGGCCTCCCAAAGTGCTGGGATTACAGGCATGAGCCACCGCACCTGGACTGAAGATGGCACTTTTAAAAAGATTTTTTTCTAAGTAAAATGGCCCCCAAAGAGCCCAATGATTTTTTTAAGGGTTTATTTTTAATTTTTAAAAAACTGGATAAAAATGAAAGCTGTAAAATATGGGAAGAGGAGCAAGAGAGCTGCTGAGTTTGCATTTGAAATTGTGAGGGGCTGGGGAGGACACGACCAGGTAGAGAGGACCGCTACCCACTAGTCCCTGCTCTCACAGCTTGCGCTCCCCACACTCAGGCTGCACCGCCAGGGAACACAGGACAGAAGTCTAGAGGACAAGAGACCAAACTCAAGTCTTCTTTCTTGTGGTTGGTTGGGTGTTTACATGTGCAAGTGTAGTAAGCCACACACCCCACGGACATAAGGTGCCTGTCTGTGGATGCCATAGGCATGCTCCTAAGCTCAGTCTCTAGTGACCCCGAGTCTCTGGGCAGGCCATGGGCCTTCACTTCTCCACTTTCTAGGCTTTCTTGAGGATGCCGCATTTTTTCCTGTTAGGGCAGTGGCACTGCTCATCATTGCTGGGGATACATTCGCAGTGCCACACCTCCTCCACCTTCTCCACGGGGTAGACGGCTTCCACCTAGTGGTAGATGAGCCGCAGCTGCGTAGGGTCCAGCTGCTTCTTGTTGCAAGCCCGGAAATGGTTGTACTGCAGCCGGAAGTTCTCGGCGGTGGAGGAGCCCCGCGGCAAAGTTGCCCACGGAGAGGCTCTGCTGCACGATCTCGCGCACCTCCTTGTCGGACAGCAGGTAGGGAGAGCGCACTGGGAAGCTCGGTGAAGGACCACCACCTCATCCAAGGGGATCTTGCAGAAGTCCTTGCTGCTCCTCTCAGGGGCAGCGGGGGACCCTCAAACTCCTCCCTGAACCTCTCAGGATTGATTGCATAGCTCCTCATGTTTCTACACTCGGGGCCAGCACGTGGACCTTGCACTGCTGCTGGTAGGAGCGCCTCTGTTCGTGTTCCAGTGCAGGTTGCCCATGAACTCCAGGGTCCAGACGCGATTGTTTTTGGTGCAGAGGTAGAGCAGGTGCACTTAGTGGCGAATGAGCTTGATGCAGGACGGGTCCAGCTGCTTCTTGCCCAGGGAGTCGCTGCAGCTGTACTGCTTGTGCAGGTTGTCATGGGTGAAGAGCTTGGGGAACAGGGGCACCAGCAGGCGCGAGGTGAAGTTGCCGATGGACAGGCTGCTCTCCTAGATACTGCGAAGATGCTCGTTGCTGAGCAGGCAGTCGGCGCCGGGCAACTCCAAGTTGGGCTGGGGATCTCCAATTTGTCCAAGTCGATAGGTACCAGTCAGATCTTCTTGGAGCGGCACCGCTCGCCCTTGAAGCTGTCCTCCACCCTGATTACTGAGATGTCATCGGGCAGGCTGGAGGAGTTGTAGCAGTTGTTGCGTGGGGGGCTTGCCTTCGCTGCCCGCGTCCAGCCCCAGGCCCTGGAGCTTGTCGTTGATGCACTGGGCGCACCGCTGCAGCCAGGCCTCCTCCTCCTGCATGTGGGGGAAGTAGACCTCCGTGTAGTTGCTGATGATCTGCAGCCTCTGCGGGTCCAGCTCCTGCTTGCCGCCGTCCCCGTAGCAGCTGTCCTGCTCACCCAGCTTGCTGTAGTGGAAGAGCTCAGGGAAGAGCCAGTGGAGGAGGAAGACGGCAAACTCACCGGGTGAAGAGGCTTCATCCAGGAACTAGGTGAGGGCCTACATGTCCACCACGTGGTCTGAGGCGATGGTGCTGCTCCTGTCCAGAGACAGGCCCTCCTCCTCATCTTTGTGGTCCAGGAAGTGGCCGGGGTCCACTGCTCAGCCTCAAGCTGGCAGCCTGGCCACCAGGCTGGCTGTTCTCCATCTCCCGCTGGGCCCAGAAGCGGCTGAAGAACTTACTCAGCTGGGGCAAGCACTCGGCCTGTCACACAGCCCTCTCCTTCACCGAGGGGTAGTAGACCTCCATGTAGTTGTGGATGAGCTGCAGGTGCAGTGACTCCAGCTTAAGCTTGGCCTCAAAGCTGCAGGCACTGCAGCCTTGGGAGAAGTTGACTGTGGCTGAAGAGCTTGGGGAAGAGCTGCACCAGCAGCCAGCAGGCCAGGACCCCACCTGACAGGCTCTGGTCCAAGATCTGCTTGAGCTCCATGCCCGTGAGCTGCTATGGGGTGGTGGGGGTCGGCTGGAATTTGGCCACCATCTCAGTGGGGTTCACCTTCAGGGAGAGCAGGTCCACTTTGCTGTGCAGCTGGGACCTGTTGGACGTGAGCGTGTTGAGCATGTAGAACATCTCCTGGATCAGGAAGTAGATGTTAGGGTCACTGTTGGTGGCTGCCCCAGTGCTGCCACAGTCCCATTTCTATGGCTCATTCAGGAGCCTAAGCAGCAAGGGGCTGTTGCTGGCATTTGCCTTCTGGAAGAGCTCATATGTGTTTAGCAGGTCCCCTGAGGGAGGGTTCTTCTTCTCCATGACCTTGTGCAAGATGCCATACAGAGGCTTCTTGTAGTAAGGGGTGGTGGCATGGTTGCGGGGCTCCTCCTTGCCTGCCCACACAGAGCCTGAGCTCCTGCCTTGCCAGCCTGCTCTCCATTGCCTTGGCAGGGCGAGCTGTTCTTGGGTTCCACATGCCTGCTAGGAGCGCCTCTGGGATCAGCTACCTCCTCTCCACACTGGGGATGGAGTCTGGCTGGCCATTGCTGACCAGCTGAGTCCTTGAGGGCAGTAAAGACGCTGTCCAGAGGGTGCTTCTCAGAAGTCCTGGAATTCACGGAGCAGCCTAGAGCAGCATCTTTGGCCTCTGTCTCCACTCTCACTTCTTAGAAGTTCTTCTACATCAATTTTTTTTGGAGATGGTTCTGACTCTGTCACCCAGGCTGGAGTGCAGCAGTTGATCAGAGCTCACTGCATCCTTGACCTCCCAGACTCAAAAGAGCCTAGCTACTTAGGAGTAGCTAGGACTACAGGCCACGGCCACCATGCCTGGCTAATCTTTTAAATTTTTTGTAGAGGCAGAGGTCTCTCACTGTGTTGCCCAGACAAGTCTCAAATTCTCGGGCTCAAGTGGTCCTCCCAAAGTGCTGGGATTAATGGCGTGAGACACCGTACCTGGCCATATTTTTTTTTTTTTTCAAAAAATTCATTTGTAGAGTTTAAAAAGTATCTTTCGATCAAGAGTTCTTATTGTATTTATGTTTGCAAATTTCATTTCCCATTCTGTTGCTTGCCTTTTCACTCAGTGAGTTATTTTATGATTACAAATCCCTATTTTTTATGTTATTTTATTACTATTTATTAACCTATTTATCTTATTTACTAGCCTTCAATAGTTACTTTTTGAGTCTTTTTTTAAATCTTAAGGTCATAGAAGTGTCCTCTGTATTACTTTTTAAAAACTGTACTGTTTTATGTTACACATTGGCTTCTATATGAAATAATTTTTGTGTATGTTGTGAGGTTGGATGTTAATATTCATTTTTCTCTGTACCGATGTATGAAAGACACCACAATTTATTGAAAATGAATCTTTTCCTCATTGTACTGAAGCACTATTTTTTTCACAAATCAGCTAAATATATTGTGTGGTTCTCTTTATGAGCTCTCTATTCTGTTTCATTGAAATATCTATACTTGCACCTTTTCCATAATGTCATAATTGATATACATTTATAAAAACTTTATATCTAATAGTGTAAGTCTTCACATTATATTTTTTCTTCAAAGTTATCTATACACTGCATTTTCATTTGCATTTTATAGTCAGTTTTTCAGTTGCCACCAAATATAATGCAGACAAATTATGCTATTACTAATCACAGTATTGTG
Source organism: Homo sapiens (assembly GCF_000001405.40). NCBI lineage: Eukaryota > Metazoa > Chordata > Mammalia > Primates > Hominidae > Homo > Homo sapiens. The sequence continues at coordinate 50,657,115 of NC_000010.11, read as the reverse complement.
ATTTTCAGTGTATTACAAATATAGATTTATTTAAAATACTGAATCTTTCTTCTAATACCAAGAATGACATAGGAACATGGTACACCTTTATTTCTGTTGAATATCTTTAATTTCTCTCAGTAAAATCTCACAATTTTCAGTAAAGGGATTGCATATGCTATGTTATATTTTATATTAGGAATTCAATGTTTCTTCCTGGAAACATTTCAGATTTTTAATATTTTATTTGATTTAGACTCACTATATTTGGAAAGCTTTAATTGTAATTTTATTTTTAATAGATATAGAGCTATTCGGATTTGCTATTTATTCTTGTGTCACTGTTAATGATTTTCTAGAAATGTATCTATTTCATCAAATTATGTCAAAATTTTTGACTTAAAGTTACTTATTACATTCTCTTTTTCTATCCCATGACTATAGAATCTATAATGATTTCCTTGTTATTATTGATGATATTTAGAATTTGTGGATACTCTTTTTTTTTTTAATTTCACGCATAATCATGGTATATTTTTATCAGTCTTTTCAAAGTAACTTTGGCTTTTGCTGATTTCATTTATTTTATGATTGTTTCCTTTTCTCATGCTTCTTATGTATCTTCTCTTTTCTAATTCTTTGGATTTAATTTGACATCACATTTTAAATTTTTGAGATTGACAATTAGATTATTAATTTTCAAGCTTTAATTTTTTAAACAAGCATATGCATTTATCTCCAAGCTGAGGTTTGCCTAAGCCTCCCATCTTTTAACAAGCAGTATTTTTACTTTCATTTTTATTAAATTCAAAATATATTTTAATATTCATTGTAATTACTTTTTTGATGCATGAATAACTTAGAAATGTGATGCTTAATTTCTAAACATTTGGTTACTTTCAAAGTCTTGCTATAGATTTGCAGCTTAATAACATTGTTGTACAAAAAAACACTGTCAAGGATTTCAAATTTTTGGTATTTATTGATTCTTGTTATGGGCCTAACCTCAGCCTATATCTGTCTATCTAACCTATCTATCTATCTATCTACCTACCTATCTATCTATCTATCTATCATCTATCTACCTAGATAGACAGAGATATCTATAGATAGCTATGGTAAATTTTGAAACACGTTCCAAATACATTATAATAAATTGTGTGTTTTGCTATTTTTGGGTGCAGTTTTTATATCAAAGTATTTAATCCTACTGCTTTAAATTTTTGTATTATTATTGATATTTTGTATCCTTTTTGCTATCAGTTATTGAAAAAGGTATATTAAAGTCTTTATGATCAAAGATGCGGCTATTGCTCCTTTTAGTTCTATAAAAATTGTAAATGTGTGTTAACTCTGTGTGAGTGAATATACATACACAAGTTTGACAACTTCCTCAATAGTTGATTCTTTTATATGGATGATGGATACATCTTCCTTTCAGGTAATAATTTCTGCCTTAAAATCTCTTTTGTCTGATATTAACATAGCTAAACAAATTTTCATTTGGCTTGTGTTTGATTACCTTTTATATGCATATATGAAAGGTTTTTAAATTAAGATAGTTCTATAGATAGAAGATAGAAGATATATAGATAGAAGATGGTAGATATCTTCTACAGATATAGATATGTATATGTATTTATATACATATATAGGTATATTAATATTTATATGTCTATATCTGTATACAAATATATATATGCAGATATCTATACATGTATATCTATATAAATATCTACATGCCGATATATATATCTATGTGTGTATATGATATCTATGTCAATGATGTAGGAAGAGTATTATGTCCAATATTTACCAGGAGTCATTTCAGATAAGCAAGAGGGTTCTGGTATACATTTTCTCTTCCTACTCACTAAGGATCTACCAAAGCAAATCATTTGTAGAACAAGGAAAGTTATAAAATTCTCTCTCTCTCTTTTTTTCTTAAGAAAACTGGGGAAAGCCCTTAGACTAGCTTGGCTAGGAGGATGGTTTCTGTTCATATATTTTCTGGTCTGGTTTTCTCTTCTGTCATTCATGGTTTTTGATTATTATATTCTAGGTCATTGACTCCTGGCCAATCATTTCGCAGTTGTGGGAAGGTCTCCATTGCTACCTATTCCAAGTTCACTCTATCCATGGTATCTTGTCTTTCATGCGTATGCTCTGTGAAATTTTGGCTTCTGGTTCTTCACCCCCATGGAACAGGTTCTGCTTTCCTTTCACTGTGTTCTCCTCAACTACTCCCTGTGCTGCTCAGCACTGTCTGTGCACCTTCTTCTGGGGCTGCTTGTCGCAAGAGGGGTTAATCCTTCTAGTGTTTGGAATTGGGGTTTGGAATCACTTCCAGATTGAGAGTGAGATGAAAAATAAAATATGTTGTGTACTAGGCAGAGGAAGTAATGGTACTTCCTGGAGGTGAGATGACATAAGGGTAGGGAACACTGGGATGCACTGCCCAGATGTCTCTTCAGGAAAGACTTATTCTCCTTTAGGAAAGACCAAGTCTCCTGAGGACTTACTTTCCTTGCTGCTAGATGATAGCTCTCTGGGTCACTTCCGTTGGGGCATTGCCTTAGTTGCAGATAGACTCTTTGCCTGAGGTCACAGCCCCTGCCTTAGTTGCAGATAGACTCTTTGCCTGAGGTCACAGCCCCTGCTGGAGGCCCACAGCCAGTGGCTGATCGACAAGAGGTATGAAGGTTGAGACCTCTCTTGTCCCCAGTCAAGTCACCTTGGAAGGGTTATCTTATTTTTAGAACTCCCTGAAGGATCGCCTGAGGCTTTGAGGCTGTGCTGCAGTTCAACTACTAGCTCTGCTCCATCCTGCTTTCTTTCCATGGGTGTTGACCACATGGGAACACCCTAATAAACCTCCTACACATTGGTCTCCATCTTGGAGTTGGCTCTCCAGGGAGTTCAATGCTGTGTTATGGTGTTACACACCATCACTGATTTTTTTTCAACCATCTCCCAGCAATCTTGGCATGTTCTTTTATTCAAATTGTTCTCCCAACATTTTCCCCCATGAGAGCCACAAAAAAATGGAGGATCTGGGCAGATAATTAAGGAAGGCACTCAGGCATTAGGTTAAACAGGCAAAGTTCACTAAGGGAACTGAGGGTTGAGTATGGGAAGTGCGTTCAGTAAGAATCTGCTAGAACCAGGGTAAAGGCAAGGGCTGAATCAGCAATAGATTAGCATTGAGTGTGGAGCTTGTTACACATCTTCTGGCTAAGAACAGGTTTAGCCTCAGAGTCTGCGGAGCCAGAAAGGAGAAAGAGGAAAGAGGAAAAGGTCGGAGGAGGGAAATTTGGAGCTTAGAGGTCAACAGGTTAGAAATAGAGACAGGAAACTAGGCAAGTGATAACACACACACACACACACACACACACACACACACACACACTGTATTTGGGAAAAGAACTGAGCTTAAGGAGGACTACACCCTTGAAATAGCTTCCCCTTTCAAGGTTCTTCTCTGCAAAATTAAAGACGACCTTTTTTATTAAAAACCTCCTGACAGAGATTCCTCACATTCATTCTCCTAACATACATTATACACGGGGAACAAAGCTGCAGGAAACATAATGGAAACAAGAAATATAAATAGCTAATCTATATTTATGAGCACAGGAAGGAAGTGTCAGCCAGTGTCAGGAAACAAGAAGGGGGATGTTAGGGTCCAGAAAAGGAGCAGGTAGAGGAGGCTGCTGACTTTGCTTAGTTCCATCAGGGTTGGAGAATTTGCATTTTGAGTGGGTCCAGCAGATGGTGCTGCTCCAGTAGAGAGCAGGAAAATCGTTTTGTATGTTTACAATTCTGAACGAATATGATTTGTAAAATTCCAACCCTATCTCCTCAGACATTAATATATGTACAGACACTAGTGTTTACAGCAAATCCTAATCTTGGTTTCATCAACTATCTGGGTCATTCTTATTTCGTATAGTAGCAATGCTATTGACAAGTTTCATGATCTTCTCTTGCCAGTTCCTCCCAGGATGATGGGATTTGGAGTCAATCCTGCAGTAATTGCTGGCACTATCACCTGCTGTCTTGTGTGCTTGCGTGATAGTGCATCTGAAAAACATCTTCAGAAATGCACTGTTAATGCTTTGTCTGTTTCTATAAATATACTAAGGTTTAAGTATATACCTAATTGTATATAAGAGCCATAGTAATATGAATAATATTACACAGGCAGGAAATAAGTCAATAAGTCATTAAAAGGTCATTGTCTTAGTGTGCTAGGGCTGCCATAACAAAATACTATAGATGGAGTAACGTAAACAATAGACATTTATTTTTTTTCATGGTTCTTGAAGCTGGAAAGTCCAAGAGCAAGGTCTGGCAGCAGTGTCAGGTGAGGACTCTTTCCCTGGCTTGCAGATGGCTGCCTTCTCACTGTGTTCTCAAAGGGTGGGAAGAGATCTCTCTCTCTCTCTCTATCCCCTTCTCTTTCTGTCTTCCTCTTTCTCCCCTATCCTGCCTCGCTCTCTGACACTTCTTACAAGATTACCAATCCTATCAAATTAGAGCCTTACTCTTATGACTTATTTAAATCTTAATGGCCTCTTAAAGGCCCTATCTCCAAATGCAGTCACCTTGGGAATTAGGGTTTCAACACATGAATTTTAACAGGACACAATTCAGTCCATTGAAATTGCTAAATATAAAAGGACTAAAAACGTAGCTGTGCCGGTAGTGGTAAAATGTGGGAACCAACACATATTTTCATCAGACGCAATACTCATTATCCTTGACTCTAATCCTAAATTGTGAGAAAATAAATTTCTGTTTATTTTTAGAAATGACTGAGAATTTCCAGCCACCAGGTAGTTTCCAAAATGTTTCTTTTTCCTTTTTTGTTTGCTTCCAATTTTTTAAAAATTTCATACCTACAGAGAAGTTGAAAGAATAAACATCCATATGTAGACTCACCACCAACTGTTCACATTTGGCCACATTATCTTACTTCTCAATCACAGGCTTTCAGCTTGGAATGTAACTTAAAGGATGTTTGAGTCAACTTTCATTCTATACACAATCTCAGTACAAGGGGTCATTGGCCTCTAAGATCTCTGGTGATGAGGAACTCAGCTATCTTTGAGTTAGCTGCTTGTGTTTTTTAGAGGCCTCTGGTTGTCACTAAGTTTGTGCTTAAACTGAAACCTGGCCCTCTATAACTTCCACCAGCCGGGCTTTATATAACCCTTCAGCTAGACAAACACTAATTCTAGTTCCTTTCTTATACGATAGCTTTGTAATGTTTGAAGGCAGTACACATGTCCCCTTCTTTAGTTTGAAAAAAAAAAAGACTAGCTAGCTGTGATTCCTTCATCCATGCCTTATTTGGAGTGGTAAGAAGTCTTTACTTGCTTGAGTAGTAGGGTCACATATTTACAAAGCACCACTGAAATTCTATAAGACAATGAGGCTTCTTGATTTGCTCTAATGGATGCAATCTTTCTTTACTCACTCCAGTTGGCCCAGTCTCTTTGGGGTTTGTGGAAATCAGGAGTCCCCCAGGACAACCCTCAGGTTCAATAATTGATAGAACTCACTGAAAACTGTTATACTCGCAGTTATGGTTTATTACAGTGAAAAGTAAGAAATGAAAATCAGCAAAGGGAAGAGGCATGATGGGGCAGGGTCCAGGAGAGTTGCAAGTGCAAGCTTCTAGTTGTCCTATCACAGTGGAACTCTAGACAGTGCTAATTCCTCCCAGCAATGATGTTGGGCAATACGCACAGAGTATTGCCAGCCAGGGAAACTCACTTGGGCCTTGGTGTCCAGAGTTTTTAACTGGGGCTTGGTTACATAGATATGGTTGACTACCAGTAGATATGGTTGACCACCCATTGACCACCTTAGCTTCCAGCCTTCCAGAGGTTGGGTTGATATTGCAAGGCCTAAAGCCCCACCATAATCACATTATTAGCATAGACTATCTGGCATGGTCTTAGGCTGCCAGGTAACCCCATCTTATCAGGCAGGACATTACAAAGGCTTAAAATACTCTCAGAAGCAAAGGCCTAACTTCTCTTTGTGCAAAGTTCATTCTTTTCCACACAGGGTAGATTAGCTATCTTTCCAATATCCCCTTTGTTCATTCCCTACTTCTCTACCAGATGGTGTTTGGGCATGTGGATCCCACTGTAGGGGGAGATGAGCCTTGATATGAGTGCAGGGCCTATCCTATCTCCTGCCTCTGCTCTGAAGTGGCTGATCCAGTCAGGTTCCCACAGCCTTACAGTGGTCTTCCCCAAGTGCAGTGTTGTTCCTAGGCTCAGTTAGACCCACCCTACCTTACATTTGCCAGGACTGCAGATGCCACCGAGTTCAGCCAGGTCCTCTCTCTAGCCCCTGGCCTTGACGTTAGTGTTATCTCACCCCTAACTACAGAGGCTCCATTATAGCAGGTCCTGAAGCTGCCAATTCTGTTACCTACCTTGTCTGGTTCTACAGGGGGAGTCTGGGAACTTCTGGAGCCCTTCTATGCCTTTTAAGAGGAAAGGCAAGTTTAGGAGTGGGAACACAGGCCCTCTTTCTGTGGAACCATGCCTCTCTGCCGCCTTCCTTGTTCTGTGGTAGCACCAGGTTGGTGTAAGCCATTCTACACCACAGTCTCTTCTCAGAGTTCTGAGCTAGGACTGGGGCACAAGCCCCCTCTGCTTTTGCATCTGGCTCTCCCCCAGTTTATGTACCATATCCTCTTCTTTCCTCTTCCAGACTGTGGCCCGGAGGAGGCAAGCCAGGACACAAGTGTCTGCCCACTTGCTTTTGCTACAATTTGCCTTCTGTTATTTTTCCCACAATCCACCAGGCCAACAGGAAGAACTGCTTCTATATCAGGTTTTCCTCTATCCCCAATAAGGAGGTATTTAGGCTATATTAGTTGAATAGTAGAACCAGATATAAAGAAGGGGATAGAATGGCTGGGCATGATGGCTCACAACTGTAATCCCGGCACTTACGGAGGCCGAAGCGGGCAGATCACTTGAGGCCAGGAGTTTGAGACCAGCCTGGCCAATATGGCAAAATCCTGTCTCTACTAAAAATACAAAAATTAGCTGGGCGTGGTGGTGCATGCCGCAATCCCAGCTACTCTGGAGGCAGAAGAATTGCTTGAACCCAGGAGGTGGAGTTTGCAGTTTTCTAAAGGGAAAGAAAACTATTAATATTTTCAAAATATTATCTCTATTATGCTTGTATAAAGAGTTCAGTAGCAATGAAAACCTGACCCATGGAAAATAGGAAAACTTCTTCCCTTTTCCCTCTTTCCCTTCTTGCCATCTTTCTTAAAGCCCATAGACTTCACAAATAACTTAGCAACTAAAAGGTCGTAGTTTTGGAAATGGAAGGCAGGTCATGTGATTCACTGGAATTTTAATTTTCATGGTAATGATAATAGCTGCCATTTATTTGAACTCTATGTACCAAGTATTGTGCTGAATTAATTTAATTTAATTTAATTAATTTAATTCTCCCCAAAGCGCTATTACTATACCATTACCCCCATTTAGCAGATGAGAAAACAGGCTCAGAGAAGTTAAGTAATTTTCCAAAATCCTATAGCTGGCACTGGAATTTAAAGCCAGTACCATTAGACTACAGGGTCCATGCACTGATTGACTACCCCTCCTAAACTGCCTTTTGATGAGGGATTCATATTTCTGTTTTCTTTGTAATTGCCACATAAGGCATTCAATAAAACACTACTTTATGCTCAGCTGCACTCAGTTTTGCAAGCTTCCAAGGATCCCTTGGTGATAAAGGAGTAATGTGGCACTTAAAACCTGGTCTGATATTGGCATGCACCCTAAAAATGCTGCTGGTATTACTGAGGGAACCAGCCGCTTGGGACTCTTACCTTCCTAATCGCTTCTTAAGGGAACTTGTAATGAATCTAATTGGAAGCATCTACTTAATTCCCTACAAGATAATATCACATAAACCAGAGCAAGAAAGGTGTTAAAATCAATAAATGAGAGAGAAAGAACTGAAAATATAGAGCTAAGGATAGGAGGGCAGGCAGGGCATTGTATATTTGTAGCTCAGGAGAAAAGTCTGGGGCACTTTTTGATAACTGCTGTATGTGCAAAAAAATGTGTTTGGGTGTGGGAACTATGAGGACGTATGTTCCTTTAGACATCTGATAATCTAAACTATGGTAATTTCTGTGGGTATCAGTGAAAAATCTGTGCTGCTGATCTGTTCAAAGTGCAGCACTATGGGCAGATTTCAGATCATACTGAGAATTGAGGCCGTGTGACTGTGATCAAGATTGTACTGGAGCCATCATTTGGTTATTCATTTACCCATTACGGAGTTGAGCTGGGGCTGGGCACGGTGGCACACACCAGCAATCCCACCACTTTCGGAGGCAGAAGTGGGAGGATTGCTTGAGCCCAGGAGTTTAAGACCAGCCTGGGCAACATAACAACCCTGTCTCTACAAAAAAATATTTTAAAAAATTGGGCTGGGTGTAGTAGCTCACGCCTGTAATCCCAGCACTTTGGGAGGCAAAGGTGGGTGGATCACTTGAGGTCAGGAGTTCAAGACCAGCCTGGCCAACATGGGGGAAACCCCATCTCTAGTAAAAATACAAAAAAATTAGCCACGCATGGTGGAGCACACCTGTAGTCCTAGCTACCCAGGAAGCTGAGGCACAAGAATCACTTGAACTTGTGAAGCAGAGGTTGCAGTGAGCCAAGATCAAGCCACTGCATTCCAGCCTGGGCAACAGAGTGAAACTCTGTCTAAAAAGAAAAAAAAAATTTAGCCAGGCATGGTGCCTGCCTGTGGTCCCGTCTACTCAGGAGGCTGAGGTAGGAGGATAGCTTGAGCCCAGGATGTCAAGGCCACAGTGAGCTGTGATTGCACCATTGTACTCTGGCCTGGGAGATGGAATGAGACTCTGCTTCTTTTTTTCTTTTTTTTTTTCTCCTTTTATGGGTAGGACTTGGGTGGGTGGAGATGATATGATGGGGATGGACATTAGAGGGGAAGTCATTAGTGAGCAGAGAGCTAAAGATGGGAAAACGCGGTGTGTGTTCCGGGGTATGGAGAGTTATTTTCTCCAGCTAGACTTTCAGAAGAAGGAAAGAAAGAGAGACAAAACCAGAAGAGCTGAACAGGATCAAATTGTGTAAAATGATGACTGCTAGGACCCCAGGACCAGTGCTCAGTGTGAACCACAGTGGCACTGGGAGGGCCTGGGAGTAGGAAAATCAGTGAGGAGGCTCTGAGCTTGGGTGGGGCAGAAAGGGTAACTTTTTTATGTTTGCTGCTTCCGAGGCTGCAGTAACAATACAGTCCCTCAGTCACCTCTTCCCTCATGGTTGTTCCCACTGTGTGTCTTGCTGGTTTCTCCTCTTGGTAAACCTCCACCATCCCCCGGAGTTGTATCTTTTGTCTTCCTCTCCTCCCCAACCATCTCCCTTCATTACATATCTTAAAAATGTCTTTTATTTTTATTTATTTATTTTTTGATATGGGGTCTCACTCTGCTGCCCAGGCTGGAGTGCAGTGGTGCAATCATAGCTTACTGCAGCCTCACCCTCCAAGCCCAAACAATCCTCCTACCTCAGCCTCCCAAATAGCTGGGACTCCAGGGGCACACTACCACACCCAGCTAATGTCCTTTTTTATTATTTTTATTTTTAGTAGAGACAGGGTCTTACTATGTTGCCCAGGCTGGTTTCAAACTCCTGGGCTCAAGCAATCCATCTGCCTCAGCTTCCCAAAGTGCTGGGATTACAGAAATGAGCCACAACACCCAGCAAAAAATGTCTTTTAGCAGTTTGGTTTTAGCTCACATTTCTGGGGAAATGGTCCTCAACGTCTCCTCCAGGGAGCAATGTTATCAGGTTGGTAGTGGCAGCTGCCAGACTGCAAAGAGTAAAAAAGGAGGCTCTGAATTAGAGGCAATGACCATGCTGAAAGGAGAAGAGAATAAGATAGGCTTTTATTTTTTTTTCTCTTTTTTTTTTTTTTTTTTTTTTTTTGAGGCGGAGTCTCACTCTGTCACCTAGGTTGGAAAATGCAGTGGCGTGATCTCAGCTCACTGCAACCTCCACCTCCCAGGGTCAAGTGATTCTCGTGCCTCAGCCTCCCAAGTAGCTGAGATTACAAGCATGCACCACGATGCCTGGCTAACTTTTTGTATTTTTAGAAGAGACAGGGTTTCACCATGTTGGCCAGGCTGGTCTTGAACCCCTGACCTCAGGTGATTGGACTGCCTTGGCCTCCCAGAATGTGGGGATTACAGATGAAGATAGGCTTTTAAATCCTGGGGTCAGCAGTCTTGGAAGAAGCCAAGTCTGGAGAGAAGCTATGGGGTATTACAAAGAAGTTATTCATGTACAAAGTTAGGAAAAGGGCAGCAAGAGTTAACATTTATTAAAGCTCAGGTTAAAAGGATAGTGTTTTAGTTCATTTTCTGTAGCTTATAACAGAATAGCTGAGAATGGGCAATTTATAAAGAAAAAGAATTTATTTCTTATAGTTACGGAGGCTGAGAAGTCCAAGATTGAGGGACACCAACTGGTGAGGGCCTTCTTGCTGGTGAGGACTCTGTGCAGAGTCCCCCTTTGGCAAAGGGCATTACATGGCAAGGGGGCTGAGTGTGCTAGCTTGGGTCTCTCTTCCTCTTCTTATAAGGCCACGAGTCCCACTTCCATGATCATCCATAGTCCATAAACCCATTAAGCCATTAATCCATTAATGGTAGACCCCTCACAACCCATCACCTCTTAAAGGCCCCTTTCTCAATACTGCCATATTGTTGGTTCAATTTCAACATGAGTTTTGGATGGGACAAATATTCAAACCATTGTAGATTGTCTTGTCTAAATGGATTGAAACTACTCAAAATTAACTTCCTATCTCCTGACTTCAATAAGTCTCTGTCTCTGAGGAACTATTTTCTCCATTTTTTCCAAGACTGCATCTTCTTAAAGCAAAAACAACAAAAACCTAAAATCCGATTTGTCATAGGTGTAATAAGTCAATCATCTAGAATTTCAGTTTGTGTGAAACCAAATATGCAGATAGTTTGAATTGTTAATGAAAAATTAACAATGAAAAATTTCCATCCCATCAATGTCTAATTTGTGTCCCACCATCTCCACAGATTTCTCACTACCCTTGTGAATTCGTAATAGTTGCTGCCTCTAAAAGCCCCCAGATCTTTTATTTCTGAGTCGTTCATTCCAGCAGGTAGTCTGGGCAGTCTCTTTTTATTTAGGCCTTTAAAAAATACTCTAAATTCATTTTTCCCTCAACTGGTATTTTCAAGCCATTTTAAGAATAGTTTTTTATTTCTCTTTAAGATATAAGTGTATATAAAGTGTATATTTTTTTTCTGGACAACTCTGGGAGTACAGTTGTCCAGAAAAATCCACTGATACAAAGTTACTTCACTTCCTTCAGGATATCACAGCTCCTTTTAAACAACAACAACAATTATTATAAGAATAGTAAAGATAAGTCTTAACATGTAAATCCTTGGAAGGAGTTTCATTCAAAAAAATGAACTTCCTATTAAGGAACAAATAAACAGTACTTAATCAATTTATCTTTAAAGGTAAGATTTGAGAGGGGAGGATACCAGCTCCTGAAAGGACAGCAGGTTGAAAGAGAGACTTAAAGCACCTGGGTTGGCTCCCACAGGATGTGGAAGCCACAGAGTCATCTAGATTTACTTCCCAGTTTCCTCATCCATGTTAAAGGTAAACATTAAAGTGGAGTGCATTTCTATCCCTGTTTTCCTTTCTCTGAGTTTGAAATCCAAGTTTTCATTGGATAGCTTCACTTAATGGGGTGCTCTTTTGTTTTCATTATTGTTCACAGAAAAAGCTGTATTTATGGCCTGCTAGTGAATTTGAATAAATTGGGTTTAAAATGATTTTCAGGGTTTTTAATGTATTGACTGCTTTGAAAAGAACAAAAGCAACTCAGAACAATGCCTGTGGCAAATTGCTTGGTACTATTAGAAAATTTCACTTATTTACAAAGAAATATTTCTTTTAAAAAATGGAGACTCTATAATAGATTTAATGCTATACATAGCTAGTTGTTCCTTAAAATAACGAATTGTTTGCAAATTTAATTAGGTCATATATATAGCAATATGTTTAAAATAAGACCTCTTTCCATTCATTACAGCCTATTTCATAAGATAGAGAGTGCTATCCTTTAATTGCACAAGGATGCAGTAAATTATAGTCTTAAAATTCCCTACCAAGGTCTAATTTGGGTCAATGCTGAGATGATGGTGCTTCACAACTTAGCCACAACCAAATCTTGATGAATTTGCAGCAGAGACTCCAGAGATAGTTACTATCTCAAATTATAGTTATTGAAATGACCTGTACCCTTAAGTAACCAGGATCTTTTCACAAACTTTAGCTGAAGAATGGCAGCTAACAGAACTGAATCAATGAGGCTCAGCAAAAAATTTAAAGAAATCTTTTGGTTGATCAGTGTTCATGAGAACCAAAGATCTGAACATCTGCTCTTCTAATTCTTGTAGGACATCTCTAAAAGTAAAGCCACCCATTAGCTGTGTTTCTCAATTTCAGCTACAAAGATTTTAAGACTAATGCCTAAATTCCTCCTCCAAAGGTTTTAATTGGTTTAAGGTGCAGCCTGGATGTTGGGATTTTTACAAGCTCCCAATTGATTGAAAGAAGAAGCCAAGGTTGTGAACTTTAAAGGTTTACAGGTTTCTAAGTTTAGTGGCAACCTCACAGCTGCTGATAATTTCCTCTTAAACCTAACAATTCTGTTTCACTTAGCCAGTGAATGGTGATATCCCTCTAGAAAATAAATACCCAAACCTGGACCTTCCTTTGTTGATGAAATGAGAGTTTCTTAAGCTGGCATGAGTACTTTTTATATTTCCCTCATGGCTCTAATATATAGCCAGGGTTGCAAACTGCTGCTTTACAGTTATTTAGACCTAGCCAATGTGATGCTCTTTCAATGTAGATAACTGAAGAAAATAAACGTGATTAATCATTAGAGCATTTTATTTAAAAATGGAATTTTGCTTAATAACGATTCAATTTTTGTTTATATCACTTATGTAACAGATATATGTTCCAGTTAGAATAGCCTTCTTCATCTAACTTACAGTGCCTGGGAGGCAAATCCTAATACCTGACCAAATTGTACCTAAGTGAAAGAAAATTGGCATTATGAATACAGCAAGTCCTCACTTAACATCCTCAATAGGTTCTTGGGAACTGCAACTTTAAGTGAAATGATGTACAACAAAACCAATCTGACCATAGGCTAATTGATATAAACTAATGTTAAGTTCCTAAGCCCCAAAACACTTCTAATATTAAACATTGAAATAAATGTGAGCTATACATATATTTAAGAAAGATAAATAAAAACAACTAAGATGATTATTTACCCCATTATTCTAGTTCAGGGTCTCAGGTGGCCAGAACTCACTCAGGGTGCAAGGCAGGAGGAACTATCCCTGGACAGGACACCAGCCCATCACAGGGTGCGCTCACACAAAACCACACTCACACTGGGACCATTTGGAAACAACAATGAACCTAATGGGCACATCTTTGGGATATGGGAGGAAACAGGAGTACCTGGAAGAAACTGATATAGACATGGGGAGAATGTGCAAACTCCACTCAGACAGTGGCGCTTGCTGAAAATGGATATTTTTCTTATCAACCTTATAATGAAATGACATTGAACGATGACATTATTCAAGGACCTGCTGTACATTTTAGTTCAACAATTTTTCTACCTAAATGTGAGGAGTCTGTCACTCAGTTTCCAATACCAGATTTTTTCCCATGGGCTTAGGGTGTCTACTCTTTTTTCCTTTTAATTTACATTTTATTTTATTTTATTTATTTTTTTTTAGAGGCAGGGTCTTACTCTGTAGCCCACACTGGAGTGCAGTGGTGTGATCATAGCTCACTGTAACCTTCAACTTCTGGGCTCAAGAGATCCTCCCACCTCCACTTCCTGAGTAGCTAGGATGACAGGTGCATGCCACCATGTCTGGCTATTTTTATTTTTTGTAGAGACGGGGGCCTTCATATGTTGCCCAGGCTGTTCTCGAACTCCTGGCCTCAAGCAATTCCTCCCCTCTACGACGCAATTCTCTCTACTTGGCAGCCCAAAGTGCTGGGATTACAGGTGTGAGCCACTGTGCCTGGCTGGATGTCTATTTTGTTTGTTTGTTGGAGACAGGGTCTTGCTCTGTCACTCAGGCTGGAGTACAGTGACACGATCATGGCTCACTGCAGCCTTGACCTCCCGGGCTCAATTAATCCTCCCACCTCAGCCTCCCAAGTAGCTGGGACTACAGGCGCAAATGCCACACCTGGCTAATTTTTGTACTTTTTGTAGAGATGGGTTTCTGCCATGTTGCCCAGACTGGCCTCAAATTCCTGGGCACAAGCAATCCTCCTGCCTTGACCTCCCAAGTGCAGGGATTACAGGCGTGAGCAACCACACCTGGCTGCAATTTTGTAACTGCAGATCAACTCAGGCTGCTCATCTGGGGGAAAGTGTTATTTTACCTGTTAACATCCACCCCTTGTTAACACTGTGGCATTCTTGCTTGGTGTCTCCCCTAATGAAAAGGTTTGTATTTTCTCTCGGGTGAAGTCACTCTTTACCTGCTTCCTTTGTGTGTTTGGTCCGGAATATTCCTCCTGAACTGGGGCAGAGGCTCTCTGTCTTCACTTTCTCACCATCTGCTTTGAGACTTCTTTTTCAGTTAACATCCTTTTGATTTATGGCTCAACTTTATTCATAACTTGCCCCTGGTTAAAACAATTATTTCTTTATTTAAGGATTTCAGCCCAAATAGCCTCATTGCTAAATAATTTCCTAGATGCTTCTCATACAGATGATTGTTGAACAAAACTTTGACAAGCACTGATTGCTCGAAGGGATTTCTACCAAGTCTCACTTATTGTTAAGATTAAAGGCCTCTTTTGGTATTGCCAAAAGTTTGAGGACAAAGAACCTTGTGCACACTATGTACTGTTTGAAAAATGAATGGCGAATTTTTAAGGCCAATAATTTTTCCTAACATCATAAAACTTCTACATACATGATTCTATATTATATTACCTGGCTATTCAATATTCTTTAATTTTTTTCTTTCTTTCATTAGATATTTTACAAGAGTTTGCTACAATGTGTAACAGATCTAGAGGTTGAGGGATAAAAGTGAATAAAAGGTCTAACGTGACTACAAGGATCACATCTGGAATTATGCCAAGAGTAGATGGTCACCGGATGTTTTTGAATGACTGGATGCCAAATGGCAAAGCAAGGAGATGCATGGGTAAAAAATGCCCATCTCCAAGTTGGATGATGTCAGGGCTCAGAAAGGGCTTCCAATCTCCTCTTATGCTGGTGCCAAGAGGTACCTTTACACTAATGTATTATAGAGACATTGATACTGGAGCATTAGGAATGGCTGTATTCATACAAGATGTTTTCAGAGACATGGCAAAGAGGCCCTTCTTTGGTCAACTGTTCATCCTAAAGTGTGGTACAATTTTTTAGAAAAATAAAATTCAATTATGTAATTTATAGCTATTTTCTTGAAAATGGCAGTCTTAAAGTGTTAAAAGGATTATTATGTTCAATAAAAGAAAACAAGTGGTCACAAGGTTGCTAGACAATTTTGTGAAGTTTATTTTGCAAACATAATAAGAAAAAATATCTATACTGTGATTGCTTCCCAATGTAGGTGACACCATCTAAAGTGATTCAAGTGCCCTTGAATTTGAACAGAATAAGGACAGGTTGATTGCTAAAATACAGGCCTCCTATAAAAGCTTTGGTGCATAGAAATTATGACCTTTATCTACTACATTTTATTTTTATTTTTATTTTTATTTTTTGAGATAGAGTCTCCTTCTGTTGCCCAGGTTGGAGTGCAGTGGTATGATCTCGGCTCACTGCAACCTCTGCCTCCCAGGTTCAATCAATCCTCCTACCTCAGCCCCCCAAGTAGCTGGGATTACAAGCATGCACCACTGCACTTGGCTAATTTTTGTATTTTTAGTAGAGATGGGGTTTCACCATGTTGGCCAGGCTAGGCTTGAACTGCTGACCTCAGGTGATCTGCCCGCCTCAGCCTCCCAAAGTGCTGAGATTACAGGTGTGAGCCACCACGCCCAACCCATATTTTACATTATAGTAAATAATGTTTTAGAAACATGGATTCATCTGTAGATAATAAAACTATCTCTGTCCAGAATTACTGTTGCCATTGTGCAGTCTGTCAGTGTTTTCTGTTGATTAGTGCTATTAGCCAAAAGGGATTATAAACAGGAAATACATTATACCAGAGCAAATTAGCAAATTCAGCATCATTAAAGTTTCACTCAAGTTGTAACATAAGATATGACTTGTTTAATGTTGCTTATACCTGGAGTCATGTTAAATGTGAAGTGTTAAGGAAACTTTGGAGAAATGCACATTGTTAGGATGCTTTCAGGAGTGACTTATTTCTTCTGCTGAAGGAGAATGTTTAAAAGCTCTAGAAAGAAACAGCTAGCATCTGGAGGGTATTGGTGTCCCTTTATCATGGTGTAATGCTCCAAGATATTGCCTGCTCCTTCTCTCTTGCTGCCCTACTGGGGTAGTAGAACCCCAGCTCCATGCAAATGGGGCAGTGGAATGTGAGGGGAGAATGGTGGAAGAAACAGCCTTCTACCAGACTAACTCCCCTCACCTGGACCAGTGCAGTAGCCTTTTACAAGCCTTCCCTGGCCTGCCTACAGTGCCTTTCAAAACATAATCTGAACTTCTATTTTTGAGAAGATGGAGTATCTTTCTATACTTCTGCCACTAAGAACAACGAAAAACTCTCAACATTATGTATAAAACAAACATAAGATTTTCAAAGGTGAAAAAAAGAAGCCAGACCACCTAGGGATCTAGGGACTCAAAGTCTAACAAGGTGGTGGGCTCCCTGGATTATGTTTTTGTCCCATATATCCCAGACTTGGAGAGAAGGAGGCTGACAACCCAGAAATAACAATGTGCACGTACAAGTAAAGCCCCAACAAAAGCCTACTCTCTCCAGCCAAAAGACCAGTAAAAGAGAAAATAGAATTCAGCAGCATATGTAATAATATATCATGACCAAGCGAGGTTTATTTCAGGCTGGCTCAGTAGTTGAAAATGAAGCTATTTAATACATCGTATTAACAGGCTAAAGAAAAAATTCTTGATCATAACAATCAATGGATACAGAAAGACTCTGACAAACTTCAACACCCATGAATGATCTTAAAAACTATCAGAAAAATGGCAATAGAGGGGAGTTTCCTCAACATAATAAATAATATCTACAAAAAACTGCACACATAACATACTGGTTGGGCCTGGTAGCTCACTCTTGCAATTCCAGTGCTTTGGGAGGCAAGAGGATTGCTGGAGGCTAGGTGTTCAAGACCAGACTAGTCAACAGAGTGAGATCTTCTCTCAAAAAAAATTTTTTTAACTTTACTTTTAAATACGATTGTAGTGGCAGTTGCATGTAGTTCTACCTACTTGGGAGACTGAGGCAGGAAGATTGCTAGAGCCCAGGAGTTTGGTGCTGTAGTGAGCTATGATCATACCCCTGTACTCCAACCTGGCCAACAGTGCAAGACTCTGTCTCTTAAAAAAAAATTCCAGCAAGTTTTAAAAATAGATATAGACAACACTATTCTACAATGTATACAGAAAAGCAAAGGAACTAGAATAGCTAAAACAATTTTGAAAAGGAAGGCTAATATGAAAGGGACCAGTCTTACCTGGTTTCAAGGGTTTCAAGACTTATTATACAGCTACTATAGTCAAAACTATATGGTATTGGCAGAGAAATAGACACATAGATCCACTGAACAGAACAGAAGACCCAGAAATTGATACACACAAATATATGCAACTGATGTTTTGACACAGGTACAAAAGAAATTCAATGGAGGGAAGATAGCCTTTTCAATAAATGATGCTGAGCAATCCTTAAGATTAAAAAGTGAGCCTCAACCTAAGATTTATACCTTATGCAAAAATTAACTCAAAATAACTCACGGACTTAAATAGAGAACATTTAAAACTATCAAATTTTAGTAAGAAAAAATCTTCATGATGTAGGACTCAGCAAAGACGACTTAGACTCGACACCAAAAATATGGTCCATAAAAGGAAAAGCTGATAAATTAGACTGCATCACAATTAAAAAACTTTGCTCTGTGAAAGACCCTGTAAACAGGATAAAAAACAAATTGGAGAGTGGGAAAAAAATTGCAAACCCCATATTTGACAAAAGGGACTAGTATTTGGAATATAAAAGTAAACTCTCAAAACTCAACATTAAGGCTAATAATCCAATTAGAAAATAGGCCAAAGACATGAAGAGACACTTCACCAAAGGTAATATACAGATGGCAACTAAGCACATGAAAAGATGTTCAGCATCGTTGGCCATTAGAGAAACTCAAAGCAAACCACAACAAGCAATTACCACATACCTATCAGAATGGCTGAAATAAAAAACAGTGGCAACATTAAATTCTGATGAGAATGAGGAGAAACTGGATCACTGGTACATTACTGTTGAGAATGTAAAATGGTGCAGATACTCTGGAAATAGTTTGACAGTTTCTTTATGCATGATAGTTTCTACATGCAACTATCATATAACTCAGCAATTGCACACTTGGGCATGTATCCCAGAGAAACAAAGACTTCATGTTCACACAAAAACCTATACACAAATGTGTATAGCAGCTCTATTTAAAATCTCTGAACATTGGAGCAGACCCAGATGTCCTTCAACATGTGAATGGTTAAACAAACTATGGCACCCCTATACATGGAACACCGCTAGTCAGCCCTCTAAAAAGGAACAAACTATTGACACGTGAAACAACCTGAATGAATGTCCAGAAAATGATGCTGAGAGAAAACAGCCAATCCCATGAGGTTCTATACTATATGATTCCACTTATATAACTGTTGAAAAGACAAGATTATAGAAATGGAGAACATATTAGTGGTCACCAGGAGTAAAGTGGGGAGGGCTATCCAAGGACAACAGGAGGGATTCATGTGGTGTTGAAAATGCTTTATCTTGACTGCACCAAGGTCAATATCCTGGTTGTGATATTGTACCATAGTTTTGCAAGATGTTACCATTGGGGAAACTGGATAAAGGATATATGGGATTCCCCTGTATTATTTCTTACAACTGCATATGAGTCTATAATTATTTCAAAATAAAAAAGCTTAATTTTAAAAACCGTGAGCATCTTACTATATCACCTCTCTTCAGTAACGTTTTCACCACAGCTTGAAAGATAAAATCAAAATGCTTAATGCTTGAGTAGAGCCTATATGATTAGAACTTGCATGGTCTAGCCCAGTGATTCCCAGGCCTGGCAGAGTTACCTATGAAGCTTATAAAAAAAATACTGATGCCTAGGTCCTAGTCCAGCTCAATTAAATGAGGATCTGTTGGTGCAACTATACATTCATTAGTGTGTTTATCTGATTAAGTCCGTCTCACCAGCAGACCATAGGCTCTGTGAGGACAGGCACCAGGGCTGCTTATGCTTTCCAGCACCCAAATCAGTGTCTGTCACTCAGGAGGTGCTCAATATTTGTGAAGCAAATGAATGAATGAATGAATAGAGGTGAAACAGAAACATCCTCCTCCCCTCTCTTTCTGCCTCCCTGGACCCACGAAAGGGATAAGGAGCCTTCCCTGGTTTCATCCCTGTCTCTCCAGGGCTCCATTACAAAATTGCAGCAGTAATCATGGCATTGCTCCGAGAGAGATCTAACCTACAGCTATGAAATCTGGAAATGATGACAGTGCCTCCTTCTTTACACTCAATCAACAAATTTAATGAAAGTGAAACAGAAGCTGACAAGGAGGCTGACATGACACATGCTCTTACTCATGCAGAAATAATAGAAAGCCTTTTAAATGCAGCTAAAAAAATTAAAGACACTGACAAAGAAATGAAAAAAAAAAAAAGATTTTAGGAGAGGAGAAAAGCTGGGGGCAAAAAATCTCCTAACTTTTGCCCTAATAATCACATTTGCAGAAAGTCTCTTCTGTGCTGCTCATGGAGCCAGAGTGGTTCATATTATGTTAATGTGTGAATAAGATTATGCAAAAAGAAAGAAATTCAGCAAATTCCAAGGTATTCTTGGGCTTATTCTGGCCTATTGCCCCACCTCCACCCCAGCATCTATATCAACATTTGCAGTGTGAGTAAAACAATTAATATTTTAAACAATTACCTTGAGACATTGCAAGTTCCGGAATTTGATAAGAATCTCAGCCCACAAATCCACAAACACCAGAGTGTGAGAAATATAACTACACATTTCAGTAACTCCACTTAACTCTTTTATCTCTATATCACTACCACCACCGCTGCCACTACTACTCATTCTACCTATCTGATGGTAAGCTTGTCCTTTTAAAAATCTCGGCATCATTTTACTCACTCATATGCAGTATTTTAAAAATTTTGGGTGGGGGCAGGGTTTTGCAAATACTCCCTGGAATTGTCAAGGCTTCCAGAGGTGAAGTATTGTGGGGTGGAAGGGCAGCAAGGCCTTTCATGTCTGGCAGCTCTGCCGTTTGGATTCATGGTTTGGACTTGGGAACCTTTATTAGGCTGCTTATAGTTACATCTGCCCAGATACTCTCCGGCCTTGCTTTCTCCCTGACGGTGATACTGGAAAACTGGTATAGCACCCTTTTCTTTCCCTTCCGTCTCCTTTTTCTAAACAGAATGGCTTTCTAGTGTGGGGTGAAAAGAAGCTCCACTCATTCCCCTTCCTGAGATATCTTGTCTCAGGAAAATATCTTGTCCCAGTTTCTTGGGGCTCAAATTTTGGGAAACAAAGGCAGGAAATCTAACAGGCTTTCTGCTGTCACTGGAGGCTAGGAACACAGGCCAAAACATCTGTTGGAATGGGGACAGGTTTGAGGGAGAAGAAAAAGAAGGAAAATGAGATATATAGTGATGGAAAAAGTAGATTATTCCAACATGTTGTCTTGGAATGACAGCTAACATTATTACATGCTCACACAGTATGCCAAGGGCTCTGGTAAGTGTTTTATGTGGATTATTATGGAGAAATGCTCACAACCTGAAAATAAGTTGGTATTGTTACTCACATTTTACAGGCAAGGAAACTGAGGCTCCAGGAAGTTTATTCATTTGACCAATGTTACACAGTTAATAAGTAGCAGGGCTCAGATTTGTGCCCAGTTTCTGATTCCAAAGCCCATGCTTTTAACTACTGCAGGAAAAGATAGTGATGTTTAAGATCTTGCAGGATAGGAAAGGGTATGAACCCATTTTAGGACTATTTTTCTAACCATGGGGATTGAAATAAAAAAGAATACAGGGCTTAAGCAGTGGCCTCAGTCAATAGAAACATTCAGTTAACCAGGATTCCATGAGGCTTTTCTGACCTGGCCACTTTGCGCTCCAGCTGTGGTGGTTTCTCCTCCTAGTTCCCAGCTGTGTTCCTGTCTCTGGTTCCCTGAGTGTTGCTCTCACTGTTTTTCTTGGCACCTTTATCCTGGTGGTTCTACCTCTTCATCTTTCTCTTTCTTGCCCCTGGCTCCACTCCATGACTTCTGGTTCATGATGAAGGAATTTATGCTTCAATCTTGCAGTTTTCTTTGAGAGCTAACCCAGTGGCCTTTAGCTATGGCTCATGCCAATGGCCCTTATGGGTTCTTTCATTTTTGCCTACTAGGTTTCCCTATGAAGTTCTCCAATGCTCTTTCCCAGCTCCCAGATGCCCACCATGACCAGCCCTCCAAGGTCACTTGGTTTGGTGAGCATTTAAGCCCTTAGGTCTCAGCAGTACCCTGGGAGAGGACCTGTTGCAGCAGGTAATGCCAGTGTCCATATATCCCAAGGCATCTGTAGTAAGAAACCATGTAGAGAACTGTTCCATTTAATGCATACAGTCAGGGCAGGCAGCCCCTTAACAGCGAGAGCTTTTAGCTCACAGAGAAGCCTTTAGCAACCATCCTGAAGTGAACAAGGGGCTTAAAATGATTGACTTGTCAGACAAGCATGTTTTTTAAACAACAAAAACTGTCGCATTAACCTTGTTGTAGCCCCAGGAGTTATCGAGCCATATATAACTACTACCACACTCTTTTAAAAAAACTACCAGGTTCAATGCCATTAAAACAGCTTGGCCAAAACCACAGATGGGTTGCCAAGGTACAAGTGAAAACAGGAAAATAATGGGACAGGTGGGAGTGGGGACATACACACACAACAGTGAGGCAATTCAAAGAGAAAATAATTTAAGTAGTTATTATAGAAACACATTGAAATTTGTGAATTTGTCCTTCTAAATTTCTCTCTCCTCTGCCTCACTTCAATGGTACGAAGTCCCTTCAGGTTCTGATGTGATTATTGATTATTGATCTTCCTGCCTTTACTACATGGTCTTTCTTTATAATTCCCCAAATCCTGTGAAGAGTTAATATCATCCCCAGTGTAGACACAAGAAAATGAGGCCCCAAGAGGTTATCAAATATTAGGGCAGGGTCTGGTGGACAATAAGTGACTTTTCTATTATATGACACTGGCTATAGTAGGTCCTAAGGAGTAGATTTAGGGATTTGAGGACGAGCCCATATACCTAGTTTAATGGCCGGCCTTTTGGTAGTCTTCAAATTAAAACACGTAATGTCTGTCCATTCTGCCTTTATGAAAGTTGATTAGGGCCAGAGTAGAAAGCACTATAGTTGCAAAATAAGGAACTCTTTCTTTGGCATTTGATAAAATTTCTGTAGAGCCGTTATTCTGGTTGAGGAGTTTTTAAAAAATGTTTACGCCTGGGCTGCACCCCATAGTAATTATATCAGACTCCCTTGGAATGGACCCCATGCATCAGTATTTTAAAAACTCCCCAGGTGTTTTACCCTGTAGCCAGGGTCAAGAACCAGGGCTCTAAAGCAGTTGTTCTCAAACTCGAACATGCGGAAGAATCACCTGGAAGGCCTGTGAAAACACTGGTTGCTAGGACCCACTCTCAGAGTTTCTGATTCAGTAGGTCCGGGGTGGGTCCCAAGGATGTGCATTTCTAGCAAGTTCCCAGGTCACATGATATTCCTCTTCTGAGGACCACACCTGGAGAACTAGGAAGGTAAGCTGAGTGAAAGTAAAGTCAGTCTATGCTTCTGCTCCCTTTCTTCCTGTTTATGAGGTTATAAGAAGTTTGTGTCTGATTCTCCTCTATGTCCTTCCACAATGCTAACTCACCCAACAAGAATACTAGAAGAACATCATTTGCTGTGTAAATGATAAATAGTCTGTGAGCATCAGAAGTGTTTTTAAATAAATCAGGCAATGAATCCCATCAGGCTTTGAATGAGTTCTAAGGAGTTTGCCACTATTTTCAGTAGGAAAATAGACATCCTTCAAAGAAAATGTATCCTCAAATTCAGTTGTGCTACTCATTCTAACAGCATTTTTAAAGCCTTTGCAGTTATTCCTCTTTATTATTTTTAATGAAGTCAAGTCATAAAGTTTGTGGAACAGGGAAAAAACCTTGAGTCTGTTAGGATAGGGTAATCAGATTTAGAAAAAGAAACAAACAAACAAACATACACATGCACACACATAGGACATCCAGTTAAATTTCAATTTCAGATAAATAATGAATAATTTTTTAGGATAAGTATGTCCCATGCAATGTTTGACAACCCTGATCAGGGCTAAATATTGGGATGGGAATAACATAAATGCCTACTGTGGAGAACTGGGACATACCATATCCATTTCTGTTTTATGGATACACAGAATTACTTACTTGATCTTGTACCTTGTCCATTGCGAACTCAAAAAACATTGGCTGAATTGTTAGAATATGAATACCTAAGATATAAATGCAATATATGAAAGTGCTGAGTGATTTCAAAGAAGGATGCTTGATCAACTTAAGATTGCAGTGCCTTTTGATTTAGTTGCCCCACTTTGATCATTGCCTAAACCAGTGATTCTCAACTGAGGATGATTCTCCATAACAGGGGACATTTGGCAATGTCTGGAGATATCTTTGGCTGTCACAAGTGGGTGGGGGAGGTGCTACTGGCATCCATTTGGTTGAGGCCAGGAATGCTGCTAAACACCTGATGATGTACAGGACAGCCTCTGGTAACAAAGAATTATCTGGCCCAAATGTCCACAGAGCTGAGGTTGAGAAATCCTGGTCTAGATAATAGTGCAGAGGATTTAGCAAATCTTTTGTTGAATTTTTCTGGCCATGTCCTGGAGTGAGTTGGAATCTCATTCTTCCAGGTGTCAACGGAGGATAGATGTTTTCTCCTATTATACTGTGAAGGAATGGGTGGAAGAATTTTGATATGCTTCTTCGAAATCTTACGAAACAAGGAAGGTGCTGCTGAGGTTCCAGAAAAGGTGCCAGTCTTCAGTTGCTGCTGTTCTTCCTGTAGCCTAGCCTAGATTTGAAGCTTTTGAAGAGTTCATGAAGGCACTACGAAATTTAGGTGAGCGCGCTGTATCAATCTCCCCTTCTTTAGTGTGCGAGATATAATTTTTGTCTCAACCTTCCAATTAGTTCTGGCCATCCAGGACTTGTTTGCAAGTGGTAATTGGAGGAGGTGCTGACCCAACATGTATTCATTATTTTGTGTACTACCACTGTTGATATAATACAGGTACTTTGTACTAAATACAGCAACAATGAACATTCATAATACATTGAACAATATCTTACGTTTGCATTTGTTTACCTCTAATGAACTATAAAATATTTTATAGACATATATTCTTATTCAATAATTAATTAATTCTCATGATACCCATGGGAAGCAAAGTGGGGGTGGGTCATATTATTCCCATTTTAACAGGAGATAATTAAACCTTGCCTGGAGTTACACACTGACTATTTGAAAAGCCAGGAGTAAATTACAAGTCTTGACAATGGTGCCATGTCTGCCAGTCAGGGCAGTGTTCTGCTGATGGCACTGATTCATCAGTCCCTGGTTAATGCCCAGGCATAAATGTCTAATTTGAAAATCCTTTTTAAATGTAATGTGGCAGATTGTGAAGGGTGGTTGCTAATTAGAGAAGAAGGATAACATAGCAAGGACATTTCCATCCCTGGTGGTTTACCCTTTTTAAACAAAAACATACCAGTGAAAAGTAGAAAAGAAAATCATACATTATGGTTGAATAACTGTTTACTATGGGCTACTTGGTGCCAAGTCCTATGCTAGGTACTCTGAAAGATGAAAGCTAGATATATATCCTCAATAGAAATTTAATATG
Source organism: Homo sapiens (assembly GCF_000001405.40). Taxonomy (NCBI): domain Eukaryota; kingdom Metazoa; phylum Chordata; class Mammalia; order Primates; family Hominidae; genus Homo; species Homo sapiens. The sequence continues at coordinate 50,631,778 of NC_000010.11, read as the reverse complement.
TAATTGAAGAATCAAGACTTACCTGCAAGAAACATGCAGAGAACTGTAAAAGACATAACATAATCAAGTGCCAAAATGTGTGTATAGGAGGCTTCTGTGTCCTGGAAGACAGACTTTTTTTTTTTTTTTTTTTTTTTTTTTTGAGACAGAGTCTCACTCTGTCACCCAGGCTGGAGTACAGTGGCATGATCTCGGCTCATTGCAACCTCTGCCTCCCGGGTTCAAGTGATTCTCCTGCCTCAGCCTCCCGAGTAGTGGGGATTACAGGCGCCCACCACCACGTCCGGCTGATGTTTGTATTTTTAGTAGAGACGGAGTTTCGTCATGTCGGCGGGGCTGATCTTGAACTCCTGACCTCAGGTCAGGATCCACCCGCCTCGGCTTCCCAAAGTGCTGGGATTACAAGCGTGAGCCACTGCGCCTGGCCCAGACATCTTTTATTTTAAAAAGGTAAAATTGGAGAGAGTTGCTTGGTGGGACCGCCGCGGCAGCGAGGGCGAGCCGCGCTGGCCCCTGCGTCTGGTGCCGCGATGCTGACCCCGGCGTTCAGCCTCAGCCAGGAGCCGGATTTCCTGACCATCGCCATCCGCGTGCCCTATGCCCCGGCCTCCGAGTTCAACGTCTACTTCGAGGGGTCGGCCTAGACTACTATGCCAAGCCGTACTTTCTCAGATTAACCCCTCCTGGAAGAATTGTAGAATATGGATACGGAAGCGAGCAAGGGTCCTATGATGCAGATAAAGGAATTTTTACCACTCGCCTGCCCAGAGAAACCCCTGGCCAGCATTTTGAGGGGCTGAACATGTGTTGCTCTTCTGGCACCAGGAAAATCCGGGACAGCAAAACCACTTGTGGAAGCAATAGGTGATTCTGAAATTCCTGAGGAAGTAGTTGACGATGAAGAGTTTGATTGGGAAATTGAGCAGACACCCTATGAAGAGGTAACAGAAAGTGCTTTGAATCCTCATGCCACTATGGGTTTGGAAACTTACGATCAGGAGTGTTTCAGCAGTTACAGGATGAATTGAGTGATGTTATTAAGGATCCAGATTTCATCCCTGCAGCAGAACGAAAACAAAAGCACCTGGCCGCCGAGCTGGCCAAGTTTGATCCTGATCATTATCTAGCTGACTTTTTTGAAGATGAGGCAGTTGAACAGATTTTGAAGTATAATCCTTGGTGGACTGACAAATATTAAAAAATGACGGCCTTTTTGGAAAAGAGTCAGAAGCAAGAAAATCATGCTGCATTAGTGTCTTTTTCTGAAGAAGAGAAATATCAGCTACAAGAATTTGTCAATAAATCTTATCTGCTAGACAACAGAGCCTGTCGTCAAGTGTACTACAGTTCGATTGATATCCTTCTGGCATATTGCTAAGAAACCCGTGTCACTGAAGGAGACAAGAACGTTGAATCTGCATGGAATATCACGAAACTTGAGTCCAATACTATGCTGGTTTGAGACTTGGACTAATGTTCATGATATCATGGTGTCTTTTGGAAGAAGGGTATTGTGTTACCTGCTCTATCGCCATTTCAAACTGGCGATGAAGGCCTACGGGGAGACTATAAAGATACTGCAATTAAGTAAAAGTGCAGTTTTAAAGTGTCTCCTGGATATTCACAAAATTTTTCAGGAAAACGACCCAGCATACATACTGAATGATCTCTACATCTCATACTACTGTGTGTGGACTCAGAAAGTCAAATCCAAAACGTTGGCAGCTCTTGCAGAAGCCTTAAAGGAAGTCTCCCTTACAAAGGCCCAGTTGGGGTTAGAACTGGAAGAACTAGAAGCAGCAGCACTTCTTGTCCAGGAGGAAGAATCTGCATTACAAGCAGCCCATTCAGTTTCTGGGCAGCAGAAACTTTGCTGCAGCTCTGAGGCAGGTGATTCAGAGGACTCAGACAGCACTGTGTCATCTGGAAACAAAGACTCAGACTCACATTCAGAACAAGATGAACTCAAAGATAGTCCATCTGAGACAGTTCTTTGCAAGGTCCCCTTCTTGAAGAAAGCAGTGCCCTTCTGATTGTTGATGGTGGAGTATGCAGAAACACAGCCATCCAGGAGTCTGATGCCAGTCAGGGAAAGCCACTTGCCTCTTCCCAGCCTCTTGGAGTGTCTGGGCCTCTGATAGAGGAGCTTGGGGGAACAACTGAAGACCACCGTTCAGGTTTTTGAACCCGAGGGCACCACTGCTGTAGACCACATCAACATGCAGGAGAGAGATGGCTGTCAGACACCAAATATTTGACTCTTAAGTGGTTTTATTCATTGTTGAGAAATGTGTTAGATTTGGTTTCATTTACAGAATGAGAATTCCTCATTTTCACTTTGTAATTTTTCTTAGTATATACAGTCAGCCTGCTGTATTTGTGGGTTCCACATCTGTGGATTCAACCAACTGCTGATCAACAATTTTTAAGAAAAAACTGCATCTGTACCAAACATGTACAGACTTTTTTTCTTATTATTCTCTAAATAATACAGTGTAACTATTCCCACAGCATTTACATTGTATTGGGTAATATAAGTAATCTTGTGATGATTTAAAGTGTACAGGAGGATATGGGGAGGTTATACGCAAATACTGTACCTTTTATTTTTTTATCAGGGACTTGAGCATCTGAGGATTTTGGTGTCCTCAGGGGTCCTGGAACCAACTCCTCACAGATACTGGGATGACTTTATGACATTGTTTTTCAATCAGTGAATGTTTATACCTTTTGGTTTCCTTGCTACAACTGTGAAGATAAAATTCAAAAGTATTTTTACCAAAGTGTAGCTAATATTTCAAGCTGAAAATAATAGTTCTACTGCCAGTGTCTCCAGAATGTGGAGCCCATTAATATTTTTATTTTAGCTTTACTGAGGTATACTTGACCGCTGATAAACTGCACATATCTAAAGTGTACAGTGTGTTGGCATATGTATACCCTGCGTAAAACTATCACTGCGATCAAGGTGAAAATCAGACCCATCATCCCCAAGTGCCCTTTTGCCCCATTATTAGTTTGCATGTCCTAGAATTCTATGTAAATTGAATCATACAATATGTATCCGTTTTTTGGTCAGCCTTATTTTACTCAGTATAATTATTTTGAGATCCATCCATGTGGTAGCATTTGTCAAGAGTTTTTGTTTTTGTGTTTTTCATTGCTGAGTACCACTTCATTGAACAGATTTGTCCATTGACCTACCGATGAACACTTGGGTTGTTTCCAGTTTGGGGCTGTTATAAATAAAGCTGTTATGAACATTTGTATACAAAAAAAGGTGAAATTGGAGATGGACCTTGAAATATTAGTAAGATTAAGTGGCCAGTGGGAATCTGGGGAAATAGGATTCAACTAGACAAGAGGGTTAATGAATATAGGTAGGGTTGTTCTTGTTACTCTCTGGAAGAGATTAAAAACTTGGGAGCTCTCAAGTGGTCATTTCATGGAACTGAAGGAAAAAAGCCAGAAACCACAGGGAGAGAATAAATAGAAATGCAGAGGAGACAGAGGGAGACTTTCTGGGTTCCTTTCAATACTCCAGTTCCTGGTTTCCATCTCATCCCGAGGCTCAGCTGCATCCCTGATCTACCCTGGTATCTTCAAATAAATTCCAAGTTTTTTGTCAATGAATAGAAGCCAAGCAGTTATTGAAGCCAGGAATCCTAGCCAGGTACACAGGAATGAGCACAGAATGTTGAGTATTATCAGATCTAAGCCTCGGGGCCAATACTTGGAATGACCTTTGTTGTCTTCGACTAGCTTTTTTGGTTAGCCTTGGTTTGGAACCCAGGTTGGCCAGAAGAGTTTAAAGAGCTAAGCAGGGGCTCCTAAGGTCTTGCTCCTGTTATTCAGGCTACGTGGCTCTGGATCACATTGAGACAAATTTCCATGGATAGAAACAAAAGTCTCCTTGCTTCCAGAGCACTATTTGAACTTTGACTACAGGTGGTTGGTAGTGATACCTATAGTATCTCCCATTTAATTCCCCAGTTTAGACTGTGCAGAAGACAAATGGATCTTGAAGAATGACTGTGGAATGTCATAAATGTAATCAGATGGGGACTCCAATTTCAGCTGCTCTCCCAGAAGTAGTACCTTTACTGGGGCAGATTAACACATTGGTATGCACCTGGGGCAGATCTGACATTTGGTATGCACTTATTTACCTGGCTAATGCCTTTTCCTCCATACCAATTTGCAAGGTCCATCAGAAGTGATTTGCTGTTACCCAACAGGGCCAACAATATGTCTTCCCAGTGTTGCCACGGGCTCCATTAGTTCTCTTGCTCACTGCCATAATAGTCTGAAGTGATCTTGATTGTTCTGACATTCCACAAAACATCACACTGGTCCACTCTATTGATGACATTATGTGAGCATCATTGGATCCCATGAGTACGAAGTAGTAAGTACTTTAGATGCCTTAGTAAGATGTATGCTAGAGGGTGAAAGAGACCTACAGAGATTAAGGTGGTGAGAGAAGCCCACCTTCTCAATGGTGAGTGATGGCTACTGCTGAAAGGTCCACTGAATAAAACCACATTTTAAATCAGGTAGTTTACCTTCTAAAGGTAGAAAAGTCATTCATTTGGAACCAAACCACCTACTTCAGAATAGCTGTTTTGGTAAGTGAAGCATTTGCTTCAGTATTTGCTCTTAGTATTATTTTTAACAAGATTTCTAATGACAGATTGTGACTTGGAGGTGATTCACTTTTGTTTCCTAGTTGTCTTGACAGCAACGTAATTCATGATATTCTGAGTACTTGAGAATCCAAAAATTTTACAATCCAACAATATGATGTTTATTAAAATTTTCCTAAGAAATACACTGGTAAGCAAGGCACAGTGGCTCATGCTTGTAATCTCAGCACTTTGGGAAGCGGAGGCCTGTGGATTACTTGAGCTCAGGGGTTCAAGGCCAGTTTGGGCAACATGATGAAACAGCCTCGGCCAAAAATAAAAAATTACCTGGGCATGGTGGCTTGCACCTGTGGTCTCAGATACTCAGGAGGCTGAGGGTGGAGGATCACTGGAGCCCTGTAAGTCAAGGCTGCAGGGAGCTGTGATGGTGCCACTGCACTCCAGCCTGGGTGACAGAGTGACTCTGAAGAAAAAGAAAGGGCACTGATAAAAATTCTTTAGGATTGGATGGACTAAAGAGGGAGAACTATTTTTATTCAATTTTTTTTTTTGGTTACAAATAATAGTGACTTAAGGACCATAACTAAATATAATTTCAAGGAGGGGCAACTCTTAGTGTCTCTTATAACCACTTCACACAGAATTTACTTTTACTGCTATGGTGATTTCTCTTTAGATTTCTTTCTGTATTTATTTACGCTTTTATTTTTTATGTATGGTGTATATATCTATGACTTTTTCTCTCTGATTTTATGAAACTGAAATTAAAGTGGAAATACTTCTATGCCCTGCTTTTTTCCATGTGCTATATATATATCATCCTAAAATTACACATGGAAAAAAATTTAAAAGGATTTTATTATGAAACATTTCAAACATATAGAAAATTTGAAAAAAAAAATTATGCCAGTACCTTAGACACACGATTTACATTCAAGAAGTATTAATATTTTGAAAAATTTAGTTATCTTTCATGTGGGGGTGGGGTGCATTTTAAAGTACATCAAAGACCAGATGCTTACTTGGACCTTTGTTTCAGGAAGTCCAGAGCTTACAGCATATTCTGGATAGCACTGGAGAGAAACCAACACGGGAGAGAAAGCAGCCAGCAGTTTTCTGGCACTCCCTTAGTTTGAAAAAATTTACATCACAAGAAAGCAAGCCTTCCTTTCACCTTTTAGGTGCAAACTGATAAACATAACCAGTAGGGCTACTATACTTCACAGAGCCTTGCTCCCAGTAGATACTCAAAACATGCAGTTGAACTGAATTTCAGTTGTTATTTTAAAGCCGTGCTTGAAAAGCGTATGTGACAAATGTACTTTCCTAATCTTCCTGAGAAGAGCAGTACTGTGTCTTACGGGCGAAAAAACCAGAGGAGCCAGGAGTGGAGGGTGCAATAAAACGCCTGCATTGGGGCAGATTGCCTCATTTTGAATCCCTGACTCCTCACTGTGCTTTGGGGAAAACTATGGAAATTTTCACTGCCTAGCTTATTAAAATGGACTGCTTAGCTGAAATATAGAGGCGTCCATGACAACTACCCGGAGGGCTTTGTTAATCATATTGCAGGACTCCACCCGCAGTTTCTGGTTCTGTAGGTCTAGGTGGGGCCGAAAACGTGCATTTCTAACAAATTCTAGGGTGATAGTGACGCGGCAGGTCCCGAGACAACAGGAAACCCAAGGGACTCGAGGCAGGCGCTCAATAAATATTCACTATGAACCTCAGCACCATCGAAGCGGCCCACCAGCAGGGGCCGCGGGGTATGCGCTGCAGGGAAGAGCACGGCCTCTGTCCAATGTCCCTGCCGGTACATCACTCCTCTGCAGGGACTAGGTTAGAACCGGGAGGCAGCCAGAGCAGCGCTCTCGCTGGATAACGGAAGAGGACTCCCTCGCCAACTTCCGCCTCTGGGGAAAAGCGGGGACCCTCCGCCACCTGAGTTCTGTTGTCTCGATTTCGCCGCAGTTTGCTTCTGGCCCGGGCGAGAACCTGTCCTCTGGGCAAGCCAGGGGTCGGTACAGGACTCCTATACCCCAAGGCGAGGCGGAGGCAGGTGCCGAGCGGTGGCCAGAGTCCGGCGCCCAAAGCCCGATGGGAGGGCGTGGCGGGGGAGGACGGTCCCGCCAGCTCCCAGGTCGGTTCCGAGCGCCCGCGGCCCGATGGCCGGGCGGAAGATGGCTGCCCGGAGCGCCGCGGACAGTCACGTGGTACGCCGGGCCCGTAGCCGCGCCCCTTCCCCCGCTCGCCAAGTCCCCGACCCCGCGGGAGGCACGGCCTCGGGCTGCCTGTAGGCCACCGAGGTGCGGCGCGGGCCGGCCAGGGACGGCGGGCATCGGGGCGGGAAGGCCAGCTCTCCCCGCTGTCCATCCTAACTTGGGCGCTGGGGCTTCGCTCGGGGAGCAGAGGAAAACCTTCCTTCAGGCGACTTGCACCACGTGGGGCTACTGGGCATGCGCGGGCTCCGACCCCGGCCTAGCCGCTCTCCGGGTTTTCGCCGCAGCTCGGAGGGGCGGCGGAAGGTGGGCCCCAGGCGGGGCGGGGCGGCTCTGACGCAGTCGGAGTTTTCACCTCGCGCGGTTAGAGCTCTTGCGCCTCCGTCGCGCTCCCAGGCGTCGCCAGAGGCTTTTTTTTTCTGTTGTGGGAGAAAGATGAGAGTCTATGGTTAGAGGTTTGAAAATGGGCCGAATAGTCAGGTCGGCCGTTTCCTAGGAATGATCCATTGGGCATTAATCCCAAGTGTCGCAGCCCTTGGGCTTGGTGGGAAAAAGAATCCAGTAGTAGTTCGCAAACTCGTGCCTGGCTTCCAGCAGGCTGAGTTTGCGTTCCCTGCTTTGTGACCAGCTCTAGCGGCTCCCGTCTCCGGCCCTGCCCCAAGGGATTTACCGTCCCAGATTGTAAAATCTGGCTCCCGCTAGGCCTTACTTAGTGGGCCCCTAAAAACGCTGGGGAAAGCGCCCGCCTCCTCAGTTTCCCATTACTTGAAAGTAAAATTCAAGGGGCCCAAACTGCGACTGTCCCTTGGTTCGGGGTCCCGCTCGGTCCCGGGAGGAGCCCCCCGCGGACCCCGCCCGGCCGGCCCGCCCCCCCGGCCGCAGTGAACACCCGGAGGAGCGGAGTCGCGTCGCGCGGGAAGCCGGGCCGGCTCGGGCAGCGGACTGGGCATGCTCGGCAGCCCGGGAGGCTCGCGGTGGCAAGTCGAAAGCGTTCGCACCAGCGGGGCAGCGGCTGCGGGCGGCAGGCGGCGGGCAGGTCGGGAGTGAGAAGGACCGGCCTGGGCTGACTGCTCTCCCCTCGCGCCTAGGGAGCCGGTCGGAGAGCGCGATTGGGGTGCGGAGCCCCGACGCTGCCCTGCCCCGGATTTCATTCCGCGGCGGGGGCTCCGCGAGCGGAATTCCGGCGGCTGCCGTGACTCCAGTGCAAGTGAGTCGTGGGGCAGGGACAGACAGCCGGCCTCACGGTTGCGGGGGCCGATCGGACACCTGTCTCGCGGGCCCGGCCTTATGCCGGGGAGCAGCGGGCGGGCTGCTCTGGGGCGAGGGGGCGTGAGCGCAGCCCGCGCGGTGCCGCGCGCGTACCTGGCGGGCAGTCCTCCAGAGCTGCTGCTCCCGTGGGTGGTCACAGCGGGGAGGTCCGGCGGCCGGGATCCGGGCTCGGAGGGGGCGGGCCGCCGGCGGGGCTCCCCGGCTAAGTTGGGGCGGGGAGGAAGGAGGAGGCGTCAGTGGGCACCTTTTCAGAGCTACTGCGTGCGGGCTGGAAGGCTGCCTGGTGTCGGATTGGGGCGATCGGGAGGCGGGGAGCCTTTGGGCAGTAGCCCGCCCGGGGTCCGGAGACCCCCACCCAGGGGCCGACTCCAATCACGGCTCCACCCCCACAGCCTAGGTGGCGGTGTGACAGTTGGTACCTTCGGTCCAGATCGCAGCCGGCCAGGCGCCCACTATTTCGGGATCCCCCCACCGTAGCCCCTCGATGCCCCCTGACGACAAAACAGGTGGGACCCCCCCTCCCCGAGGAGCGCTCCCCTTCTCTCCAGGCCGCGTAACAGCCCGCCAGGCTCGCGGGCGGCTCTGAGACCCCGCAGGGCTGCCCCCGCGGGGCGGGGACGTTTAGGGGCAAGGCCTGGAGGGGAATCGGCGCAGCCCAGAACTGGACAGTCTCTCCAGGACGCCGCTTTTCCGTGACAGAGGGGGTCTGCGCTATCCCCCAGCGACGTGTCAAGGGCAAAACAGCAGCAGCAGCGGCTGCCTCTCCCACCGTCTTAACCCGAACTCGGGCTTGTGGCGTCCTCCCGTGGGCCGGATAGAGTGCCCTAGTCCAGCTAACGGATTCAGCCTGGAGCGTTCTGGTGAATGCTGCTTTCCTCTTTGGTGCCGCGAAGTAGAAATCGGGATAAGGGTTGTCATGGCCGGAGGGAGCGAAGAGAATCCAGGCAGGTGCTTCTCAGATGTTTCTTTTCACCTTCAAACAGTACAGACTTCAGCGGTACACGCTTACGAAACCAAGTGAAGGCTGCTTTCTGAAAGGGAAGTTTATTTTCTATGTTCTGGGGCCTGTCGACTATTTTAGCTCCCTTGACATTTATCTTCCTGGACCTTTAAAGCTGTTTGGACAGGTTATTTTGCTTTTAGGTTTGGGGATGTTTCTAGTTGGCTCCCTGGATGTGGAAGTGGCGAATGTCTGATGTGCTGTGCTGTGAACTCCCCACGCTTCCTGGCACTGGGGGTTGAAACATTCAGGGGGGACTGAGTGGGCCGAAGGAGAGGAGTGGGACTGGTGACGTAGGAACGCGATGGGTGTTGCCTAGAGCTGCCCAGATGGAAAGGGGTTGGCGGCTGTTTTGGCCTGTGCAGAAGGGGAGAGGGCGGGGCGTTTCATTGGTCGGGGTGTGAAACGTCCACGGGCGAAGGCTGCGGGGGATGGGTGCCTGTCTGGTCAGTGCTCCAAGGGAAGCCCAGGGATGTTTGGTGATTCAGCAGGTGGCAGCCTTCCAGCTCTGAAGACATGCCGTGGCCAAGCAAAGAAGCAAGCAAGCAAGCAAGCAGCAGCCTGTGCCTGCTGTCGGAGGCGCCAGCTTTGGGGGAACCTCCAGGTGCTGCCTTCTGCCTGTGGCAGCTCACTTGTCTTATCTTGCTTCCTGTTTAGCTCTGGAGGCCCTGGTATTTCGAGTTTCCTTACTGCGCCTCTTAAAATATACAGCAATATATAGCATGTTTTTGAGTCTCTGCATCTCTGTGACCTGCTGGGTAGCAGTGGGGTGGCTGCTGCCGCCATGCAGTTTTAAGTAGTTACTCTGCAGAAAGTGACAGTGATATGTAAAAACAGTGAAGTGGCCTTTCCTTCCATTTCTGCTTCACAGAATAGAAATTTATGTTTTTAGTAAAATAATAAGATACATTTCTGCAACTCTTCAGTGATGATAGTGAGCTATTTGAAATTTCCGGAAACTTTTTAATAAAAGACATTAACTCCAGAGATGTATTAAATTGACATCAGAGGGACACGGTTATTAAACCAGTATCTTACTCATTGGAAGATTTCTAGCATCTTGCACAGTGTCTAACTTGTATTCAATACATGCCTCTGCAGCTGAAATTTTAAAAATTCTTCATAACAGAAGAGTTTACCAGTATTTACCATGTTCATCATCTATTTTTAAGTCTGTATTAATATGGTTAGAGTAAAATATATGCATCAATACCTTTGCACATTGACATTTAAAGAATATTTATGTTTTCGTAAGACATGATTGCTGGGTTGACCATAAACATTCAATTTTAGCTTGAAAACTTGATTCTTTTACTTTTCTGGTTAAATTTATTAATTTTCAAACTTGGGGCAGATCCTACATTTCAGCTAGAGAAATGGTGTGCTTTGTTAACATACGTCATGAAAACCAAACGGACTCCTGACTCCTAAGTATAGCCATCAGTTTTTTTTTGTTTGTTTTTCTTTTGAGACAGGGTTTTATTCTGTCACCCAGGATGGAGTGCAGTGGTACAATCTCGGCTTACTGTAGCTTTGAACTCTCCAGGCTCAGGGGATTCTCTTACCTCAGCCTCCCGAGTAGCTGGGACTACACGCACGCACCACTAAGCCCAGCTACTTTTTTATAGAGATAGGGTTTTGTTATGTTGCCCAGGCTGGTCCCAAACTCCTGGGCTCAAGTAATCCTCTCACCTTGGCCTCTCAAAGTGCTGCGATTACAGGTGTGAGTCACTGCACCTAGCAGTATTATTATTATTATTTTTAACTAAAAAGTGCTCCTGTTGGATGTCAAATGCTTTAACTTAGAAAACTTCATTTTATACATAACATTTCAGGAAAACTCTGAAAAGTGCTGCTATAGAAAAGCTGAAAGAGTATTTTGGGAATAAAAATTCTGGATTGTTTGCACACAGGCATCAATGCCCTGGTCTTTAGGAGGGAGGCATGAGTGTGCTGCCAGTTCATTCTGCTCTTTACCATCACTGTCTGTTCCTTCCTCCAATTGTTTAGGTATTTCTTCTTCTCCTAAAGATGTACTTTCTTGGCATGAGCTTGCTTTTTAAAGCAATCCTGTCAGAAGAATCTGTTGCATTTTCTCACACAAATTTGATCAATGGTGATTTTTATTTTTTGATTGCCATATACACTTTCCCACCACTTCATATGGCAAACTATTCAGTGGCTCTTGTGTCCTTGTGGGGGCATAACATGTTATAGATGGCTATGCCTTTTTTGGATGGTAGCTATAGCCATAACAGTCTCTTCTGGAGGAACTTTTATGACATGCTGGTCTTCAAGATTTTTGGCTTTCCTATTAAAGGCTTTTGGTCAGGAATATAAATGGCTATTTCTCCTCTCTAAGAGCATCCCTGTAAAGGTTGTTACCTCCATTAAGCTACCCAGTCACAAGAGGACCTTATTTTGGATCAGCCCACTTGGATGTGGGAGTTGGGAGGCAGCATTGGATGTCAGGGAGGAGAGAGTGAAGAAAGGGAAAGAGAAGGGTGGGCGGAGCCCCAGGAAGGTAGCTTGGTTTTATAACTGACTTCTGGATTCAGTAAAGCTGCATTGAATGGTGCTGATGAATAAGTTTGGCTCAGGCCCTGCTGGAATGCTTTGCTGTTCTCCCAGTCCTCCATCTCCACAGATAAACACATCACACACAGATCCACAGACACAGAGACTCACACAGACAGCGAAGAGAAAGACACAGAGAAAGAGACACACACACTCTGCCAAAAGCCAAGAGCACCAGTGTCTTTTTAAACTAATATGTCAAAGGGAAAATCCAGGACTCAGTAGCAGGTTTGATTTTGGGGGCCTGAAATCACCCCAAGCTTGTATTGAGAAAGATTCCCCTCCACTCTCAGTGACAAGCTGATCTACTCCCTTAATGATGTAAAGCCACAAGGGCTTTAACTGAAGCAACCATTATACGTACAGACAGGTGAGTGGAGATTTAGATAATTTGGGTGATTTACCTTTTAGACTCCTGGTGCTGAGAGCTGAGCTCACATTCCAGTTCTTGGCACAGGATCCTCTCACTGTGCAAAAGCCCCTTGCTTGTTTTACGTTTTTCTCCTTCATTCCCCTCCCAGCACCCCCCAGGCCCCTCTCCCCCAGAGGAGCCTTCTTTCCAGTGCAGGATATGTTCTTGCATATGTATGTATTTTGTTAAAGATGTTGAGTTACTTTGTTTGTTTTTGATTTACATAAGTGGTTCTGTGCTATAGATTTCATTCTTTTTTTATTCAACATTAGAGCTTTTTATTATGGAAATTTGCAGGCATTCATAAAAGTCAGAAGAACCTTAACATTTTATTTGTGAGATCCTTGTTAGTGCAGGTTTATCTAGTGCGTTGCCTTGACTGCTGCTTTGTAGGGCTGGTCTTTTATGTGTCTCCTACTTTTACTTACCCATTTCCCTAATGATGGATGCTTAACTCACCTCCACTCCTGCTACCACTAGCAAACATCCTGTATGCATTTTCTTTCTTTTTTTTCTTTTTTTTGAGACAGAGTCTCGGTCTGTCGCCCAGGCAGGTGTGCAGTGGCATGATCTTGGCTCACTGCAGCCTCTGCCTCTTAGGCTCAAGAGACTCTCCTACCTCAGCCTCCTGAGTAGCTGGGTCTGTGTGCATTTTCTTAATGATCTGGTTGAGAATATCCCTAGGGTAGTGGTTCTTAAAGTATGGTCCACACCTGGCAGCATCGGCATCAACTCTGAACTGTTAGAAATACAGATTCTTGGGTCCTAACATTCCAGAATTCCTGAATCAGAAACCCTGAACTGTGTTTCAGCATGCCCAGGTTGGAGATTCTGATACATGGGAAAGTTTGAGAACCGCTGCTCTAAGGGTATGTACTTAGGAGTGGGATGGCTGAGTAATGGTGTACAAACATACCTGTTTTTACTAAACACTGCTAAATTACTCTCCAGAGTTGCTCAGCTGCTTTCTGTTCCACATCAGTGCACAAGGGTTCCTGATTCCCCACGTTCTTACTCAAATTTGTTATTAACCAACTTTCTAGTTTTACCAATGTTTGGTGGCTGTAAAGTGGGATCTCATTGGGTTTTCTTTTTGTGAACTTATATGATTTCTTAGTAAATTTGAACTCTTTTAATATATTCATTAGTGATTATAATTTCTTTGACTAGCCATACTTGCTTTTCCTAATGTGGTGATTTGAAGATTTTTTTGGTATATTCTAGATGTTAATCTCATCCTGTCTTCTGTTTATCAACTTTGTCAATGGTAACTTTGAGAAATTTTTAGTTTTGATATAGCCCCAGTCCATTAATTTTTGCCTTAGGTTGCACTTTAAGAGTATAAGATATTTTTCCTTACCCCAAGATTACAAAGATATTCTGTATTCTGTCAGCTTTCCAGTTTTACCTTTCACATTGAGGGCTTTATTCTATTTGAAGTTCATCTTCATATATGGGAAAACAAAGGAATCTCACATTATTTTTTTCCTTTCCATTCTGTGAGACAGTTTTCCTAAATCATCTATTAAACAGTGTATTCTTTCCTTCATATAGTTTTGTGGAGCCACTTTTATCATACCTCAGATTCCCACAGACACATATTAGTTTACTTTTTCAACTTTATTAAGAGTTATTAAGGCTGAGCGTGGTGGCTCAATGCCTGTAATGCCAGCACTTTGGGAGACTGAGGTGGGAGGATTGTTTGAGTCCAGGAGTTCAAGACCAGCCTGGGCAACATGGAGAGACCCTGTCTCTACAAAAAAAAAAAAAAAAATTAAGCCAGGGCCAGGTGCAGTGGCTCACACCTGTAATCCCAGCATTTTGGGAGGCTGAAGCAGGTGGATTGCTTGAGCCCAGGAATTCAAGAACAGAGAACAGCCTGGTCAAAACCCTGTCTGAACAAAAAATACAAAAATTAGCCTGGCTAATTGGTATAGTCCTAGCTACTCGGGAGACTGAGGTGGGAGGATTGCTTGAGCTCAGGAGGCGGAGTTTGCAGTGAGCCCAGATTGCACCACTGCACTCCATCCTGGGTGACAGAGTGAGACCCTGTCTCATAAATAAATAAATACATAAATAAAAATAAGAGTTGTAACTTATATAGGTAAACTAAATCCATTCAAAGTGTACAGCTTGATTACTTTTGACAGATGTACATACCTGTGAAACCATCACAGTGAAGATACAGAGCATTTCCATCACCCCAAAATTGCCCTTGGGCCCCTTTGTAATCCCTTTGTCCCCAGACTTAAGCAACCACTGATATGCTGTCACTGTAGTTTAGTTTGTGTTTTCTAGAATTTTATGTAAATGGACCATACAGTATAGTACCATTTTGTGTCTGGTTCCTTTCATTCAACATACTGATTTTTAAAAATCTTTTTAAATTATGATAAAATACACATAACATAAAATTTATCATTTAACCATTTTAAGTGTATAATTCAGTGGCATCAAGTACATTTACATTGTTGTCACCACTATGCATTTCCAGAACATTTTTTATCACCCCAAACTGAAACTGTCCCCATTACTTGCGACATACTGATACCAATCATCTGTCTGTTTTTATGCCCCCCCAATTTTTTTTATTATAGCATTGCAGTGTGTTTTATATGGCAGAATGAGCCCCTACTTTTCTTTATACTTTGACTTGGTTATTTGTGGATGTTTATACTTCCATATGCATTTTGGAATGCTTATTAAGTTCTCAACAAAGTTAGGAAAGTGTGATGGGCATTGCATTGAATATATAATATGATTTTTCTGTCTAATATTGTAAGATTTTCTGTCTTATTGTAATTCTGTCCGTGAACATGGTCATCATTTCATCTTTTTAAAAATGACTTTTTAATAGAGTTTCAAATTTTCTCTGTCATGATAACATTTTTTATAAAGGTTGCTTTGAGGATAATTTGAATCTTGGCACCTTAGTCTCCACATTAGAGGGAGGCTAATAGGTGTTTTGGGACAGATCTTTTAAAATCTTCCTTCATTTATCAGCCTGTAATGACATTGGTGAAATTACTCACCCCTGGTAGGCCCTGGTTCCTCTTTCCTCAAACTGGAATAACAACACCCCCCGCCGCTTAGGGAGGCTGCTGAAGGGTTTAAAAGATATTGTAGGAGATGCTTGGAATACAGATCTTGAAACAGAGTTGTTGCTTAGGTTATGTTGGTGGAATACCTCCCCTAATGCTGGTTTTAAATAGCATAAACTGTCTGGGTATGGTAGTTCACACCTGTAATCCCAACACTTTGGGAGGCCGAGGTGGGAGGATCACTTGAGCCCAGAAGTTTGAGGCCAGTCTGGGCAACACGGTGAGTCCCTGTCTCTACTAAATAAATAAATAAATAAATACATAAAATTAGCCAGTTGTGGTGGTGTGCACCTGTAGTCCCAGCTACTTGGGGCGGGGGGGCTGATGTGGGAGGCTTGTTCGAGCCTGGAGGTTGAGCCTGTGATGAGCTGTGACCATGCCACTGTACTCCAGCCTGAATGACAGAGCAAGACCCTGTTTCAAAAAATAAATAAAATAAATCTCATAAACTTAATACTTTTGTCTGTTTTTAAGGGTTGATAATAAAGAAGAGTCAGAAAAGCAAAGTGAATTAGCTAGCCAATAAATGTGTAACACTCTCTAAGACTACATTTGCAAGCCCATGTTTCTGCCTAGTTTTGTTGGGTTTCACAAAAAATATGGGTACTTCCAAAGAATTTTACAGTCGACTGGGGAAGAAAAGGCTAATGTGCAAGAAACAATTAGAGAACTCTATGTGACAGATGGTATATAATTAGAGGTGAAGTGGTGCAGTGCCAGGGGAGTTATGAGAGGAGAGAGATTCTGCTCTGTGAAGTTTTGATTTGGCTTGGGTGGAACTAGTTTAGGGAGGGGAGAAGGCGCTGGAGAAACCAAGTAGAATTATCATTTCTGTTGGGAGCCTTGAGGGCCCAGCATTGAATCCCATGACAGTGGATATTGTGCCCAAACATAAGTATCTCAAAATCAGTGCTGTGGGATTGGTGATAAATAGTTAGAAGATGCCTAGATAAGCAATAGCTCTCTGTCTTATAGTACAGTGGTGAAGAGCCCTGACCCTGGACCCTGGGTTTGGATCTCAGCCTCATCGTGTAGAAGCTGTGGGACCTTAGGCAGGTTATGCAAACCTTCTGCACCTCAGTTTCCCCAACTCTCTGGTAGGTGTCATAACAGCAGCCATCTTACAGGGTTATTGTGGGGACTATATTAACATTTATAAGGTACTGAATGCCTGGCATGGTAACCACAACATAAATGTTAGCTGTTATTATGACAACTTTTGTTAATATTCATCACCTTCCTCCTGTACCTCTCTTGAGGTGTGTGAGGCTTTATGCCCCAGAATTGGATGGCTTTTGTCCGGAAAGACCTGGTTGGAGGCTGTACAAATTTATAGAATGGCTTTTTCCACATGTCGGCAGGCATTCAGTGGGCGCTCAGGTTGCAGACTGAACAAGTAAATACTGAAAGACAGTGGAGCCAGGTGCATTCTCTGTCATTCCTGGATGTCCTCACTCAGGGCTCTGGAATTGAGTGGGGAGAAAAAGTCAGGTGGTAAGCATTCAGGAAGCGAATTTTATTTTGCTATATTCCTAGTTCTGATTAGACCTTTTGGCAGAGATGTCGGAATCACAGGGATTCACACTTGTTGATGGCTAACTGCATGCCAGCCACTTTCTAAGTCCTTGACCCAATGAAATGGATATTGTCATCATACCTTTTTTGAGGACAAAGAGAGTGGGACAGAAGTAATTTGCCCAAGAAAGTAGGAAAAAGAATGCCCTGGAGTTTAGTGTTTGGGGCCTTTGCCAGGTGGCAGAAATAACAGAAGTAGGTACTGTTGGTGGAGAGCCAGTACCTTTACATAAAGCGTTGTAATACACAGGTTAGCCCAGCAGGGCATTCCCATGACCTCAGATGTTTATCAGGTGAAGCCAGTGGCTCTCAGATTTCAGCGTGTATCAGAATCACTCGAAGGCTGCTTACAACGCCCAGGGCTGGGACCCACCTCTGCCAGAGTTTCTGAGGCAAAGAGCTTGGGGCAGGTGGCAGTGGGCAGTTGACATGTCTAATGTGTTCCTGGATACTGTCATGCTGCTGGTCTGGGGACCACTCTTTGCCAACCACTGCCATCAGCAGTGCCCATGTCAGCGAGGAGCCAGCTGCTACTACTTCTAGTTACAGTCAGGTGGGATGATTTCAGATTTAGACATTGGAAGTGCCTTCCGCCTCATGAAATAAAAACTGAACTCATGTGGTCCTGTTTATCTAGGACAGCAGAGGGGTGTCTGAGCCAGTCCAGAGCAGAAACTTGCTTTTCCTGCTCACCAGTGGTTCTGGCATGGCTCAGGAGAGATGATCCCAAGGTGGAGAGAAAACTTGGAAATATAAGTCAGCACTCATTAGAAGCTTGGAGTGCCATCATTACATCCCATCTTAGGAAGATGGCCTCATTTATTTTTGTTATTTTTCATTCCCCCTTCCATTGGCAAAAAAAAAAAAAGAAAGACTTCCTGTTCACCACTTATCCCCATGGAGGAATTTAGGCACAGACAAATTAAAAGTATATTGAGATACATAACCTGACAGTGGAGAGGCAGAAGATAATCTTATTTGCCTAGTTTAATTATAGCAGAAAACTGTGTTTGTAGGAAAAAAGAGCTTTGTACAGCTTTCCTCCAGCTGCCACGAGGTCACATAGCTACAATGTGTACCAAGCTTAGTACAGCACCTACACACATTAAGCTCTCAAGAAGTATGAATAGTTATTATTATAGCAGAAGTTTTCTGTCTTGCAATCCAGGCTACACTTTTTCCTATTTGAAAGAATGTTACATATATAAAACCTCGGGACGAAAACCTTTTATAATTTAAATATTTTGTAGGAACTCAGGATTTAGAAAGAACTCGGAGGTGAACAATACAAGTAAGTTGTATTTGGGAAGGAACACTGGTTTAGATTTTTCTCTGTGCTAGTTATCAGGACTCTCCTGTGACCCTGTCAGCCTGTAACAGCTCGTTTGCTTGGTGAGGGAATGTGGCAGGGCAGAGAGGATGGGGGGATTGCCAGGGGCCGACTGAAGAGGCTAGAGAGGCCTGTTCAGGTGTGGAGACACTCTCCAGTCTGGTCATTTTATAACTCAGGGTTGACAGTGGCAGTAAATATGTGTTGAAAATCCCCTATGGGCCAGTTTCCCTGGTGAGCTTTGAGATACAGAGATGAGTGCGATGGGGTCTGGGTCTTTGAGGGATTAGTGGGGAGACAGACATGTCCACAGATGATGTCATCACCAAGTAGTGAGTACAGTATCAAAGCTGCACACCTAGCCTCCCTGGGTCAGGGGTGGGATGACTGGACAGAGGTCACCTGCCCAGTTTCCCTGTGTCAGCAGAGTGCACAGAAGGGAATCCATACCATAGGTCAGTGTAGATGGAGCCAGAAGTGGCATTTTTTTGGTTTTTATTTTCTTTTGTTTTAGGGTTGAAAGCCACATGAGGTTTTCATTTTTAGTGACATAATCCTGACAGCAGAGACAAGCCTAGGAAGATGTGTGCTATAAGTGGTCAGCCCCCAAAGGGAGAATCAGAGCTGGGACTGCACTTCAAAACTACTTGGGGAGTTACAAGAGTACTTAAGAGTTTACTTTCTTTGTTTTTAAAAAACGTGGCTATGAGGTCAGGAATTCGAGATCAGCCTGGCCAGCATGGTGAAACCCCATCTCTACTAAAAATACAAGAATTAGCCTGGCATGGAGGCGCACGCCTGTAATCCTAGCTACTCAGGAGCCCGAGGCAGGAGAATTGCTTGAATCCACGAAGCAGAGGCTGCAGTGAGCCGCGATCACGCCACTGCACTCCAGCCTGGGCGACAGAGCGAGGCTCTGTCTCAGAACAACAACAACAACAACAAACAACAAAGTGGCTAAATGTTAGCTGTCTGCTAGGAATGTAAAACCTGGAGAAGATTAACGACTTTCTATCTTTAAGATAAATCAACTTTTAAAAGAAAGACTCTATTAAAAACAAAGTTTTATTTTATTTTCCCTGAATTTTTGGCTAAGTGTGAAATTCCCCTTTCATTTGTGTTTTCAGTGGTTCCAGTTCCTTGTTTTCTTTTTTCTCCCCTCCACTCCTCCTTTTCGCCAGCTGCTTATTATTCATTAACAAAAGAAGCTGATTTCAGCACTACCTTCCCCAGTCCTATTTAATTTCATGTCCAGACCACTTTATAGAAATAGCAATAAGCTGTTTGCATTTCCCAGGTTGTAATGGATATTCCTTCTGGCAGGCTGTCTCCATTAAGGGAGCAAAATGTGGATGTTCAGTCTTCTAAAAGTTTCATGCAGGTATTCTATGTGAATCCATGAAGACGGGATGTTATAACAAATCTCAGGTTAAGGGGTGGAGGATCCTCAGCTAAGCTTGGCAGGTGGAAGATGCTTAAATTTGGAAGGGAGTTCCCAATAGTCACAGATGGAGATGGAGGGATTGAAGAAAAAAGCCCTGGGGCAGGATGGTAGAGAACAAACCTCAAGAAAACTATCTCCTAAGGAAGTGGTGGGGAGGGCTAGCTGAAGTGGTACCCACCCCACTGGCAGGGGGCTGGGTGAAAGCAGCAGAGGCAGGAGAAATCAGGACTGGGAGGGAGATAGGGTGGGAAGGCAGGCTTTGCCCACAGCTTCTTTCCCCCTAACAGACACAGGCTGACAGTTTAGGCAGGAGTTGGAAAAGGGGATGGGGGGTGCCAGTGTGTCTGAGGCCAACAGAGAAGAGGAATGTTTTACTCCTGAGGAAACCAGGAGGGGAGAGGGAAGGGTGGAGGAAAGGCAGGGGGCAGCGGCAGGGATGAAGGTGCACAGGCAGGTGGAGGATGACTGGAGAGCAGAGATGCTTGGGATGCTGGAGAAAAGGCCATGGGACCAGAAGAGGATTGTGAAAGAAACAGTCTGTATAGAGGACCCACGGCCTTCAGCCCAAGTCAGGCTGTCCTGGTCATCTGAGACAGAGGCAGAGTAGGTGAGGGCAGTGAGGAAAGATGCTGCTGGCTGTCCAAGCACACTGGTGAGGTAGTAATGCAATTTCTGAGCCATTTGTAAGATGTCAGGACACCCAGGGTCTTCTAGATAACAGGAACTGGGAAGGCAAGGACCCAGGGGCCCTGATTTTGAAAGCCAGCTGAGGAGTGATGAAGAACAGTGGGCTTGGGTTTAAATCCTTTTGGGGCAGTGGCTTTCTCATGTGAAATGGGGATAATAACCACTCTGTCACAAGTGTCGTGGTGTGAAGACCCTTGGCGTGTGTCCACAGTAGTACAGGGTTGCATTCTGCAGTTGTTGAGGTGGCCTTGGGATGTGGCAGCAGAGGGTGACCCTGAGATTTCCTGTAAGAGAGAGTGCGTGTTGATTCCCTTTCCTCTCCTGGGTGGCGTGTTGACCATTCATTTGACTAGATGGACCATAAGTGAGATGG
Source organism: Homo sapiens (assembly GCF_000001405.40). Classification (NCBI taxonomy): domain Eukaryota; kingdom Metazoa; phylum Chordata; class Mammalia; order Primates; family Hominidae; genus Homo; species Homo sapiens. The sequence goes on along the minus strand of NC_000010.11, from coordinate 50,611,145 downwards.
GCTATTGCACAGGCACTATCTGTACCCAGTTTTCTGGCCGTGTGTTGTCGAGATTTTCACCACGTGGACTGCATAGTCCCTTCCTCTGTGTTTCTACCTGATCTTATCCCAGAGCCTGTCCCTATTATTCCCCTGGCTATTAGTTCACTCTACACACCCCCAGACCCAAGTACACAGAATGTCCCCTGTATGCCATTGCTTTTTGTGGAAGCCTTTGTAGATGGCCTCCATCTCTAGCCTGAGCCTTCAGAATTGTGGAGACTGGCAGCTTTGACGTTGAACGAGGCCAGGATACAGGTGTGAACAAAGCAAAGTCTCAGCTCGTATGGAGTTTTCTTGGTAAGGGTCAGACCGACAATAATCAAATAAGCAAATATATAGCATGTCGGGTTGTCAGGAGGCAAAACCTCACCTGTGCCTCAGAATGTCTCTGCCACCTGTTCACAAGGTTGGTAATTTAACATTTGCTTTACTGCTGTGGTCCATGTAGTGACAACTAAGTTACTTTGAAAGGCTCTACAAAGTTCCAAGCAGTTGGCTGGGCAGTGTTCCAGGTTTCCATAGGGGCCTCAGCATGGCCGGCTTTCCCTCTCACTTTGATTTTAGAAACAGGCAGGATTGTGAGAACGCTCTCAGGAGTTTCTCAAGCCTCATTTTGCTCATTCGTTTCAAGGCCCTATGTGTGGCCCACAGGTTCTTATTGGGGGTCCCTGGATGGGTTTCCTGAAGCCACCATGTATTTAAGTGTATTTTGGGGGACAGTGCATCTAAAACTCTCATTAAATTCACCAGGAAGGTATTTAAAAGGCCCATTTTTTATGAAAGTGGATAAAAAGTGAAAATTATGCCATGGAAAGTTCCTTCATATTTCTATCTTTCTCTTTTTAGAGGAACTAATGGGAAGTGACTAGGTAAAAGGGGGTGAGGCAGACACACACTGACAGCCTTGTTGTAGTTCTGTGCGGCTTGACGTTTCTGTGTCTTACGGGTGGGATGGGAAACAAAATGATACCGCTGGCATCACTGGAAGACCATTTGACTTAGTGGAAGCAAAGGCGGGGAGGTGCGTATGATGCTACAATGTGTTTCTGTCTTCCACTGAGCAAGAAGAGGAGGTTGAGCCATTGGGAGGAGCACAGAGGCCCCTTGGAGCAGTTGCTGCTTCTCAGATTTCTGTGTCTGATGGGTACTGAAGATAGGTCTGGAGCTTTGGCTGCTGATGCCAAAGGCACCTGTTTTAGGAGATTGCTCTGCTTGAGAAGTCCATAGTAGCTTACCTAAATAGTAAAGTTCATGACTACTGCCTTCAAGATAAGGGTCTAGAGGGTAGCTTTGAAGAGTGAGACCGTAGATGCTCACACACTCTTTGACCCAGCAATTCTACTTTTAGGGGCTTATTTTAAGAAATAATCAAGGTCATTATTCATCCCAGAGCTCTTTATCATAGTGAAAAGTTGGAAATGTAATATTAAAATATAGGGGATTGGTTAAACAAATTATGTATATCCACACAATGGAATACTAGGTAACTGTTGAGAATAGTCATAAAGAAAGTTGTTCTGAAAGCATTGTTATGTGCAAAAAGGTATGTAATGCCTTTGTAAAAAAAAAAAAAAAAAAAAAACTATTGAGAAGGTACTGGTTGGGCCCTACTATGGGCCAGGTACCCTGTGGAGTACTGGTGACACAGTGATGAACTAGACAGATATGTCCTCAACAGGTCTTAGTCTACCAAGGCAAGAGTCAGGTCATACTGACTCTGTCATTAAAAAATTCTGTAAATAATCCATGGGTTCTGCAACCACAGATTCAATCACATAGATTGAAAATATTTGGGGAAAAAGCCAAAAAATAACAATGCAATAAAAAAAATACCCCCAGGCATGGTGGCTCATGTCTGTAATCCCAGCACTTTGGGAGGCTGAGGCTGGTGGATCACTTGAGTCTGGGAGTTCGAGACCAGCCTAGGCAATGTGGCAAAATCTGTCTCTACAAAAATTAGACGTGGTGGCATACACCTGTAGTCCCAGATACCAGGGAGACTGAGGTGGGAGGATCGCTTGAGCCTGGGAGGTTGAGGCTTCAGTGAGCAGAGGTTGCACCTCTGTACTCCAAACTGGGCGACAGAGTGAGACCCTGTGTCAAAAAAACAAAAAACAAAAAATTATAGCATAACAACTATTTACCCAGCATTTACATTGTATTATGTATTATACATTATCTAGAGATGACTTAAAGGATACAGGAGGATTTGTGTAGGTTATATGCAAATATCATGCCATCTTATATGATGGACTTGAGCATCCACGGAATTTGGTGTCCCTGGAGGTCCTGGAACCAATCTCCTGAGTTACTGAGGGGTGATTGTATTCATAGGAAGTCTACAAAAAGAATGTCTCCTTCACAGGCAATTTTGCCACCTGTATAGTCATATCAGGTGTGTTTCTCTGTACTTGTTATTAGGCTACATCTTTGACTTGAAATTACTGATTTTTTAAAAAGCTTTAAGTAATAAAGATATCACACTGATTAAATTTCGATGATAATACTATCTTCCTTGAAACTCTCTTTTCTCTCCCAGCACTGTGGGAGGCTGAGGTGTAAGGGTGGGGTGGCTTCAGCACAGTGTTTGAGGAGTGGGCACTGAGTAGCGTCCCCTGAAATCTTGTGGTGTACAGCCTGTGCTGACCGCCCAAGGCTGCTCTGCACTAGCCTTTTAGCCAGATGGGTTTTCTTTCAAGGACAACTTTTCTTTTTCTTATTTCTCTTCCTCCTCTTCTCTTACCCTTTTCCTTCTCTTTCCCCTCTTGCTCTTCCTCCTTTATTTAGAAAATGTATAAGTTAAAATAATAGTAATAACCCTATTACACATAGATAACTGCTGTTATCATTTTGGTGTATATCTCTCTGATCTATTTTCTATAAATATTAGATGTTCACCAAATGCACATTTTGATCAAATGCTGAAAGGTGGAATGCTGAAAGGAATAGTATTGCCAAAGCTAAATCTTGCTGTCCTAGAATGGACTTCTGGGATACAAGTACAAGTTTGACATTTTATAAACATTATTACAGTTTTGTTATTAAAATAGAATTTGGCATTGTGGTACAGGGACTTGATTTCTTAGCATATACGATCAGTGCTGTTAATGTTTGTGATACTGGGTGGATGTTGACTTTGATCTGAGTTGGAGGAGGGAGGAGCAAGGCCTTTACTTATTTGTTTAGTTTGTTTTTATATTATTATTTTTGCTGGCTCTGTCCATGTAATACAATATGAGTGGTAGTTTCTTTCCAACTTATTAATCTTTTGTCATATAACTGACTTGTCTTCTCTGTGACTCCTGGACCTGAAGATTTTCTTGGCAATGATGATGTGGTTTCATTTTAGTATTTCCTAACCCCAGCTTTGTGCACTGTTTGAAGGAGAATATATCTGGATAATCTCAGAAGCAGAAGTGAAATTGTTGTCCTTCTACACATTTTTCCCTGATATTTTTGTACTCACTTGCTGCTTCACACAACCAGTTGAGAGAAAAATGCATCCTTAAGCTTTGGCTCTAAAAGTGTGGCTGTAGAGAAATGAAATTGGCTTTCAAGATAACAGAGCTGTTTTGGAATCTCCATCTGCATCTTAGCTTTCACTGCCTGCACACTAATTTCAATATCTTCCCTGGAGAAGAATGACAGAAGAATCTTTGCAGAGGTAATATGTGACAAATGTTTGCCCTCTCAAGGTACCCTCAGTTTTCAACAATTGACTGCTTTCCCTGCAAGCAACCATTGACTGTTAGTAAGCATGCTCTTTAATATTGTTAGTAGACTTGCCATGTCAATGCTGTTATACACAAAGTACAATGCTAGGCCAGGTACAGTGGCTCATACATGTAATCCTAGCACTTTGGGAGGCCGAGGTGGGTGGATCGTTTGAGCCCAGGAGTTTGAGACCAGCCTTGACAAGATAGCAGAACCATATCTCTACCAAAAAAAAAAAAAAAAATTACCTGGGTGTGGTGGTGTGCATCTGTAGTCCCAGCTACTTGGGAGGCTGAGGTGGGAGGATCACCTAAGCCCAAGAAGTTGAGACTGCAGCGAGCTGTGATTATGGCACTGCACTTCAGCCTGGGTGATGGAGTGAGACCTTGTTTCAAAAAAAAAAAAAAAAAGTACAATGCTAGAGCTGAGCTTTGTTATATAATAACCAGACATTCCATCTTTGAACATCTTTGGTAAGTACGTGACAAAATCTTGAGTGTCATATAGTTTGCTGATGGATGCAGGAGATTCTAGGATACATCTGGAATGTTCACCGACATTTGAAAATGAGTCTTTGGATACTAACAGCAGATATTCAAATATAATGCCTTGTTCATATCACTGACGTCATGCTGTTGTGATGTTTACTTACACGGTGATGCAATCATTGATCATACATCAGTTCAAGGATGCCAGAAGTGACATTTGAAGAATGCATCCTGCTCTTTAGCTTTCCAGACTGAGACTGAAGGTCAGATTTTCGCCAAGTGTGGAAGCTGAAGACAACTTTGGTAGATTCTTAAATATGCATAGAAATATATGTTGTATTTTTATAGTTTTAAAATATTTCTACTATTCCAAATCTATACTTTAAACAAGTACAAACATCTTTTTTGATTATAGTAAAATACACATACACAAAATGTACCATTTTAACAATTTTTAAGTATACAGTTCAGTGGCATTAAGTACCTTCAAATTGTTGTGCAACCATCTCCACCATCCATCTCCAGAATGACTTCCTCATCCCAAGCTGAAACTCTATGCCCATGAAACAATCATTCCCATTGTTTCTTACCCCTAGCCCCTGGAAAACCACTGTTCTACTTTCTGTATATGCGAATTTGACTATGTACCTCATATAAGTGGAACTATTTAGTATTTGGCTTGATTTACTTAGCATAATGTTTTCAGAGTTCACGCATATTGTAGCATGTGTCAGAATTTCCTTCCTTTTTAATATTCCATGGTATGGATATACCACATTTTGTTTATCCATTCATCTGTCATTGGACACTTGGGTTACTTCTATCTTTTGCTGTTGTGGTTAGTGCTGCTGTGAACACAGGTGTACAAATATTTGTTCAAGACAAACATCTTTCAAGAGACTCTTTTTAAAAGAAAATAAGGTGTCTCTTAAAATATGTTCCTTGTCATGAATGTAGAGAGTGGAACAATAGATAATGGAGACTCAGAAGGGTGAAGGGGTTGAAGTGGGGAGGATGAGGAGAAATTGGTTAATGAGTATGATGTATATTATTTGAGGGATGGATACCCTAAAAGCCCTGACCTGACCACTATGCAATCTATGCATGTAACAAAATTGCAGATGTACCCCATACATTTGTATAAATAAAAAGGAAAATAAAAATATGTGCCTTCTTGTGATCAGTTTTATTAGAGGGTGCCTTATCACTGTGTGGTCAAGGAAATTCTGCCTTTACAGTTATAAACACACCCACCACTTTGAACAGTGTTTAGTTGAAGGTATTAGTACTGCCTGAGGTCAAGAGTGTGGTTTCACAATACTTCAGAGCAGTCTCACCAGCAAACTTGGCAGCAACCTTGAGCAAGTCCTGTCAGGGTTGTTGGAAAACAGCCGGTGTTTTCATATCTTTTGCTCTGATAGCTCTTACTTGTCAGTACCTTAGGAGGGAAAATCTGGCAGTAGTGTTTGGTTCCTTAGTTCACTCTGAGCTGGTTAAATGCTCACTGGATATGCAGATATGATTTATTTCAGTGGTATGCTTCTCTGTGAGCCTGTCTCACTGTGGCAGCTCTGGAATTTCTGTTTATGGATGACATTCTGTTTGGAAGTGGGGCTGAGGTTCTGAGCTACAGGCTGTGTTTGCACAGCAAGCTCCCTTGATTTTAATTTGTATTTTTTCCCAAATCTGGGTGGTAGGGGAGGCCCAATGGAGAATATAGAGCAGTATGCTCCCCACTGACTCCATGCAGTGGTCCGGGGTTTTGTGGTGCCTGGGCATCTTGCAGTGACATGTCTGTAGGTGCTTTTTTGTGGAGATGTAGGAAATTGAAATTAGCTTCCAGCTTTGTAGTAACAGAAGTGAAATGTTTTGTACCGTTATAGGCCTGATAAAAATCAAATGTGACTAACTGGTGGTTTTAAACAATGCCAGTCAAATCTGTTTGTTTACATTGCTCACATTTTCTAAAGGCACATGATCTATCTGAAGATGGAGGCTTATCGGTGAGTTTACTGACAGCATTGTGTATTGTGTTATATTTATATTTCTTGTATGATCTTTTTAGTCATTTTTTTGGAGTCTGTCTTGGTCTTTTTACTGATGGGTGTATGTGTAGATTTATAGGGATAAATAATCTTTCTTCTTTTTTGTGGAGTTGATCAATCGAGGACTTTTTAAGTCCTTGATTTAAATAGGTGACCTCTGGAACAAAGTAAACACACATGTTTAATACTTAGTCATATAATTTATACATTTGGCAATCAGTCAAATACTCCATTCCAAAGAATAACCTTGAAACTGTTTGAATAAATTTTTTATTTCAGCATGCAAGATGTAATCAAAGAAATGTGTCTCTGGGAAAAAAGATAATTGCGGTTCTTTTGTGCCGTTAAAATTTCAAGTGCAGTGAGCTAACCTGGCACTGTATCAGACGTCTAGGCAAATAATTGCCTGTTTGCTGTTGGAGTCTGTTATATGTTGTGCATTTTTGGTGGCTCTCTACAGTTCTGGTTCTCTTATCTTCCTAATAGTTCTTCTTTAGACACCGTCCCTGGAACCTCTGCTTGGGTTGCACATGTAAATTTCACCGACGGTTCAGCCCTGGTGGTGAGCAGCCTGTTACGTGCAGGCTCATGTGGGGGACCAGTTTGCTTTCTTTTGGGTGGGGTGTCAGGTTTATGAGGGTCCAGCTGGTGGAGGGCTCTGATTATGTGGTTTTGACTCAGCAGTTTCCTTACTGTCTGAGAGCTGTCATCAGAGCTTAGACTGTGCAGGAGGAAGTGATAGAAAAGCAAAGTGTACAGTGCCGTTTTTGCACTGAGGCCCCTATTTTAGGAATAAACTCTAGGGGTCAGAAATGTTGACGTTTAGATTAAATCTGACTTTTCTCATTTTCTGATCTATATTTTGTTTCCAGAATGGTTAATGTAACTCCTACTAGAATAAACAATGGCATGTATTTCAAGTTTAATGTTATTCTACATTTTTGAAAATTTAGTAAATAATAAAATCTTAACCTGTTTATGTATGCTCTAGCTTGTCCTGCCCCTCTGTCTACATGTGGAAGATAAATTTTGTACACTCTTCACAGTCACAAGTGTTTAAAGATACATAACATTAGAAAGTGATTTTACCAATTCTTTTTCTTTTCACAGGTTTGTTGCTGACTACAACATTAAGGTCCCTTCAGAGGTTAAGGCTGTTCAATTTAAAACAATCATGCAGTGTTTCTTTGATGACTGCAGTGTGTTGTGCAATTTAGTTTTTTACCCCTCAATTTTTTTGTTGCCTTGAGTTACCATTTGGAGGTACGGTTTTTGATACTGTATCTCAAGACTGTGATTTCTTGGATTTTGTGTGTGTGTGTTTTTTAAATTTACTGAATTTACTACTAGAGACTGCTTTCTCTGTGTAAGATCCACTCCTTTGTGGGAGCCCAGAAGTTTACGATAAGTAAGAGAAGGAGTATCAGATAGTGAGAGGTGTGCATCATGGTTAAATGAAAACAAAACCAAGGTGTTTGACTCTCGGCAGAGAGAGATTTGGAAGCTAGCTCTGTTACCCACGGTTCAGCCCTGGTGGTGCGCAGCCTGGGCTCCGGCCTCTCACCAGCAATGGAACCAATGGATGTTGAGGAAATTACTTAAGTTGTTTGAATCTTAACTTCCTCATCTGTAAAAAGCTCATCCTACAGGTTTATTAGGGGATCATGTTTGTAAGACCCCAGCACACTGTAGATGTAGAATAAAATGGTAGTGGTTATTATTAGGGCTTCCTCTTCAGAGGCAAAAGGTTTTAGAATGTGGTTATGTTTTTCTGGTATTTTATTTTATCATTTAACATTGCAGAGGATAAGGAGTTGGAAATGAAGACAGCCTAGACTGGCTGAGAACCTCATTGTGTTGCTGAATTGAATTCCATTGTCTAAACTCGTTCATTTTCACCTTTTCTCCTGATTGTTTTGTCTGCTGTGGAGCATGATGTTAAAAACAAAATAGATCACTGTAAAATTTTCTCTATCCTGGCACTTTGGAAATAAGTTAGTCTGACAAAGCAGTTCTTTCCACAGAGAGTAGAGGCTTTATGTTTATTTTCTTCTCATTACAAATTTTTTTATTGTTAAAATATTTTAAATGTTCAGGAACCTACTGAGAATAATACAATAAATGCATATATATCCAGCTTCCAGTTTTATCAAATGTTAACTTTTTGATGTGTTTGCTTTATGTATGTGTGCATATTTATTTATTTAGAAAAATAAACATCACATTTTCAGTGTAAGTTCAGGGACCTTGCTGTCTCAGTCATTGCCCTCTCATGCCTAGGAGAGTGCCTGATAAGTGTTTAGTAGGCAGGCTCCAAATAAACACTGTGCATCTTCTCCAGTAGCCTTCTTCTCCCTTCTTCCCCTGATATAACACACAAAAAGATATTGAACAGGGAGAAGTATCATGCTTGGTTCAGCCAGTGACACAAGTGTTAGTTAAATAAGGACTGAGTTAAATAAGGACTACCCTGAAAGAACTTTAAATGCTATGACATAAGGTAGGACAGGTGAATTCAGAAGTAGCTCCTGTGGGAAGCAGAACATTCTCCCTGCATTTGCAGAGCCACAGAGTGGCTGGTTATTGGAAGTAGGCATTGGAATGAACTTGAAGAAGCAGAGATGGGGCAGGGTTTTCTAGGCTGACAGGATCATTGATTGACAGCTCAGCAGTGGGAACAGTGTTTGGAGAGATTAAAACAAGGTGATTCAGAGTTACCTGAACTCTGTTATCAGAGGCGAGTATCAGGAGAAGAATAAAGTGTCCAGAGAATGGGTATTGGTTGAGCATCCCAAATCTGAAAATCCCAAATCTGCAATGCTCCAAAATCCAAAACTTTTTGAGCACTAATATGACTCCACAAGTGGAAAATTTCACACCTGACCTCATGTGATGGGTTGCAGTCAAAACACAGTCAAAACTTTGTTGCATGCACAATGTTATTAAAAATATCGCATATAAAATTACCTTCAGGCTATATGTAGAAGGTGGATAGGAGACATAAATGAATTTAATGGGTAGACTTGGGTCCCATTCCCAAAATATCTCATTAGGTATATGCAAATAATCCAAAATCACAAAAATTCCTGAAATCCAAAATACTTCTGGTTCCAAGCATTCTGGAAAGAGGGTATCCAACCTGTACTACATCTGATGAGTAGTGTTAGGCCCTTACTTAATGGAGCACAATAGCATGCTAGAAGAAGAGCTGATGCTGTGGAAGCAGACCATCTTGGATTAAAATTTAATTCCTCTTTTATTGGCTGCAAGGCCTAGGGTAAGCCACTTAACCTTTCTGAGCTTCAGTTCTCATGTCAGGTATGTTCTCACTTTGGCTACAAGAGGTTAAGAATGTGGAAGTGGGTTCTTGCCTAGCCATTCCATTCTGTCTTAAGTGGTCCTCTTGTCTATGGAAATTTGAAACAGGCAGCTAAATGATGAGAAAATTAAAACTTTTTGGTTGGTCACAAATGTACAAAGTGACTTCCTTTACATGAGGTCATTTACCAAGTGATACAAGTAAAATGTGAAATTGTCTTGCCTGCCAAATCCATACTTCTTCCTGTATCTTGTGAAAAAGTCCAACATCCTCTTAGTCATCAAGACAGAACCAAGGAATCATTTACAATTCCTCTTACCCCTGCATCCTTCCAGTCACCAAGCAAGTTCATTTTACCTCTTTTTATTAGCTCATTCTCGAGCCCCTATCACTTGGTGCCTGGATTTCTGCTACAGCTGCCCATTTTCTGCCCTTCTTCATTTCATCTTCCCAACTGTAGTCACAGTCCTCTTTCTAAACTGCAAGGATGATCATGTTAGTCACTGCTTAAAAATGTGTCTGTGGTTCCTTGGCCCATGGGTTAAGACCTGAGAGTCCTAGTTGAACACATGGGTTTTTATTGTCATGCCCTCTCATCTGCCTTCCTGTCCTTTGTGGTTCCTTGCTGCTCTACTCTCTCACCCCTGCTTCTCTCCTCTGATTTGTCCTCATCTTCCTAGACTCGGTTCTTGGCTATTTCTGCATAGTGGTTTCCAGAGTGGATGTGCTTGAGAACACAGCCTGTTTTGTCAAAAATTAACGTGTTCTTAGTGTCCAGCATGGTGTCTGACACATAGAAGACTCTCAAAAAGGTTAGTGGAATAGAAATGGATAAGAAATGGCTTTTCTATCTTCACCCAGCCAGGAGGACTGAAGCTGGGTAACAGAAGCATTCTCTTTCAGCACCTTTCTGTCTCCATCAATTTGGCATCTGCTCAACAGCCCAGCTGTTGATGGGAGAGAAGCATATGGTTGACTTGAAAGAGGCAGCTGGGATGTGATTGGGTGTTCAAAATATATTCATTCCCCTTCCCCCATATAGAATAGCAGTAATAACACCTTCTATTTGTATTTGCATTCTCCTTGAGTGCTTCCACAGACATGATCTCATCTGGGCGTGTCACTAATAGCCTGAGTGCTAGATGGAGAATGTGATTGTCCCCATTTTGTAGATGCAGAATAGGAGATAAAAAGGAGTAAATACATTTGCTCAAAGTTAGTAAATTGATAGTGGTATAACCAGACTTCAAGCCCAAGCAAGTGCCCTTCTCTTTTCCCTCCTCTTTCATAACCAGCAGAACCAGGTTATATGAAATTGATGTTTTTACATGTAATCATCAGAAAGAAAAGTTGGCAAAAGTAATTGTGTTTGAAAAGTTTACTCTGTGTTAACTTTGCATGTGGGCATTCTTTGTAACTGTTAATTTCCCCAATCCTCTGGTTCTGGTTAAGTGCTCAGAGTTATATGCCGCCTTGGGGTCACTTGGCTGAAATAGCTTGAAGCATGTGAAATAGTGTCCTGAGGCCCACTCTGGATAGAGATGAAGGATTTGTCATATTTCAGTTGGTCAGTTTGGGAATATTGTTGACTTCAAGCTATTTCCCTGCCTGACAGACTAAGTGACAATAATAAAATCTTAGTACTTCTTTCTTTCTTTCTTTTTTAAAATTTTTTCTGAGACAGTCTTGGTCTGTCGCCCAGGCTGGGGTGCAGTGGTGCAATCTTGGCTCACTGCAACCTCTGACTCCTGGGTTCAAGCAATTCTCTTGCCTCAGCCTCTTGAGTAGCTGGGATTTTAGGCACGTGCCACCATGCCCAGCTAATTTTTGTATTTTTAATAGAGACGGGGTTTCACTATGTTGGCCAGGCTGGTCTCGAACTCTTGACCTCGTGATCTGCCCACCTCGGCTTCCCACAGTCATGGGATTACAGGCATTCTTAGTGCTTCTTAAGTTAACGTTAAGTACTTCGTAAGTATACATCCCATTCTGTTAATGCAATGGTTTCTTCTCTCCTAGAATTCTGGAGTCTTTGAATAAACTTAAGTAGGACAAGTAAAAAAAAAGGCTCCCAGCACTTAACAGTCATATTCTTAATTTCCAGGAATTTCTAAATTTTGAAAATTACAGCCTCTGAAGTGGGCTGTTGCAGGGAAACTGTTCCTACGTGTTTTATTAAATTCTATATTCTTAGCAGCAAAGATGAAGAAGGCAGAGTGAGACTGAAAATGCAAGGGCAAAAGCAGTTAGGACACAACCAAGATATGCAGACAACATGCAAGTTTTTGATGGGAGCTTTTTTGTTACTGTTTTTTTGTTACTGTTTTTTTGCAGTCACTCTGTTGATCACATGAAAATCTGTATAGTTTTGTTGTTTTATCAGTCCTCATTCTTTTTGTCTGTTTCAGCATTTGATTCTTGAGTTATTCCAGCTCTCTTGTCCCCAGCCCCTGTGAAAGCTCTCTTCTCTTGGCTTCCATTATACAGTGGAGTGGTATTCTGGGTCTCTTATCTTTTCTCTGCTATTGGCTACTTTCATCACCTCACTTTACCATTCAGACATGTTGATGGTTTCACTTTATTTTATTCTCTGGTGATATTTGTGCAGATGTATACTATTTTTTTTTCCTGTCTGGGTATTTCTCCTTATTTGTTTTGCTGTCTTCCTAGACTCAATAGCTTTTGAAAAATTGACTTTAGAATGTTTGTTGCAGGAAAAGACCTTCAAGATCACATGCTTCATTGTTCATTTTAGAGGTAGGTAAACTAAGGCTCTGGGAGGTGATGTGGCTTGCATAATTTCATGGAGTCACTCATTTGGTGAAATCAGTCTGGAAACCAAGGTCCTTGACCCTCAGTACTTCTTAGAGCCTCTGTTTATTTCTGATACCCTGACTCCTGATGGTCTCCTGTCCCATGATTGTTCCCTTGGCAAGGAACTTCAGAGCTATATGACCCTCACATTTCACCCCTTCTCCACAACTGTCAGATATCCAGCCATTCACCAAGACCCATCAGTTATTTCTATGATTTTTAAATGCTACTTTTTAGTAATTTTTAAATTTTAAAAACTTAAAATTCAGTAAAATTCACTTTTTGGAAGTGTATAGTTCTGTCCTAGTTAGTTTGGGCTGCTGTAACAAGAATACCATAGCTTGGGTAGCTTAAACAACAGCCATTTATTTCTCAGAGTTCTGCAAACTTGAAGTCCGAGGGTGCCAGCTAGCATGATTGGGTTCTGGTGAGGGCCCTTCTTGGGCTTCATAGATGGATGCCTTCTTACTGTATCCTCACATCCAGAGAGAGAAGTCATCTCTCTCTGTCCTGTCTCTTCTGATAAGGGCACTAATCCCATCATGAGGGCTCCCTGCTCATGACCTTCCCAAAGGAGTCCTCTCTGAATACCGTCACACTGGGGACTAGGGTTTCAACATATGAATTTTGTGGGGCGGGGCGGGGGAGGGGAGCACAAGCATTCAGTGTGTAGCAACTTCTGTGAATTTTTTTTTCTTTTTTTTTTTTTTTGAGACGGAGTTTCACTCTTGTTGCCCAGGCTGGAGTGCAGTGGTGCTATCTCAGCTCGCTGCAACCTCCGCTTCCTGGGTTCAAGCAATTCTCCTGCCTCAGCCTCCTGAGTAGCTGGGATTACAGGCATTCACCACCAAGCCTGGCTAATTTTGTATTTTTAATAGACACAGGGTTTCTCCAGGTTGGTCAGGCTGGTCTCGAACTCCCAACCTCAGGTGATCCACCTGCCTCGGCCTCCCAAAGTGCTGGGATTACAGATGTGAGCCACCACGCCCGGCCAGTTCTGTGAATTTTAACACAGACATTAATTCACGCAACCACCACTACAAACAGCATACGGAACAATTTCCTCACCCTTCAAATTCTCTG